>NC_000009.12:38343333-38494848 GCF_000001405.40 Homo sapiens
AGACCAGGAATGGTGATCGCTAACCAAGGTGTATGTTGTCCCCAGGATGTCCTTTCTGACCCCTCCTCTCCTTCATCTCCCATCATCACTCTGCATCCTCAGCTCAGAACACATGCTGTCTGACCTGGTTCCGAAACATCACTGTCACTGCTCAGAAAGCCTGACTTTCCCATCAAAGACTTCCAGGGCATCCCCAGAGCACTCTGGGGCTGGTCTCAGAAACACAGAATAAACAGCAGCCAGTCCATTGCAGAACAGGCCACAGGGCCAGCTCTGCTTCTGCGTCCTCCATGTCAGGTGCTTCTCTGCCAGCAGCTCCTTAGTAAGGCAGCCTTAACAAGCTCGTGCATAGGGTGATTCTTGGGGCAGGATCAATCTGCTCTCTGCTGTCAGCTTCCCCAGAGAGGCACACTCGGCTGAGATCAGGTTGGTGGTCCAGAGATCTTGCAGATGCCAAGGCTCTTGCGCCAGTGCAGTGGGAAGAACCAGCATTCACCGTCCTCATCCCTTCATCTCATTCAGAATCACCACAACAGTAACAACATGAATCAAGAAGGGCCATGATTTTTTTCTGAGTGCCTACTATACGCTAGGCACATGCTGCATGATTTACCTGAATTCTCCTTTCGTTTTCCCAACAAACCCCTTTTACAGATGAGGAAGCTGAGGACTGAGAGGTTAACTGACTTACACAAGGCCTCTCAGTCTATAAGTTGAGAAGTCAAGATAAGAACCATGTTCTCCCCAACCCCTCACTGAGATAATTATATTCACAAAAATGCATCCCATGTACACAACATTTTACAGCACTCAGAGCTCTTTCCCATCTGCTTTTGGCTCTGATCTTTGATCAATCCCTTGGGCTGAGTATTATTAGCCCATTTATTCAGATGGGAACATTGGGATTCAGAGCAAGGAATTGACTGGCTCAAATCAGCAGGTGTATGAGTTATCTATTGCTGTGTAACATATTACCCTAAAATTTGGCAGCTTAAAATAGTACACATTTGTTTTCTCCCAGTCTCTGTGGGCCTGGGATCAGGCATGACTTAGCGATATCTTCTATGTCATCTGATGACAGATGCAGCCTCTTCTGTGAGGCTGCAATGGAGGTGTCAGCCCAGGGTCTGTGGTCTCATCTGATGATGCCTGGGGGAGGGATCTCCTTCCAATCTCATTCATGCGATTGTTGATGAGATTTAATTCTTTGGATGTTGTTGCACTGAGGACCTAAGTTCCTCTCTAACTGTTGGCCAGAGACCCCCACTCAGTTCCTTGTCATGTGGACCACTCCAACATGGCAGCTTGCTTGATCAAAGTGTGCAAACCAAGAAGGCAAGAGGCAGGGGGAGGGGGAGACAGAGAGAGACTGTTAGCAAGAAGGAATTCACAGTCTTTCGTATTAATAGCCCAGTCATGGAAGTGGCACCCATCTCATTTGCTATGTGTCTGTATCCATTAGAAACAAGTCACTAGATCCACCCCAGACTCCCACCATAACAAGGGCATAGTTACTAGCAGGTGGGGATTACTGGAGACAATCTTAGAAGTCTGCTGACTACAGCAGGGAGCTCAGCTGGAGTCTAGTGTGTGCAGCTCTGAGTCTGGCCCTGTCCTCCTGGAACTGGGAATGTGCTGGCCCAGTGGACCGATGTAGCAGGTGGCAACCTTCCCCTCGTCCATCCTCTAGGAAGCTCTCAGGAAGAGAGAGGCGGCCCCACTTTAATTACATATCTCCCCCAGGGAAGCCTCTGCTGCCTGTGTTCTTCTCTGGGTAGTTTTGTTCCCCCTTTACTGCCAGCCCTGCTTTAAATCAAAGCTGCTGCCTGTTCAAGGGCTCCCAGCCCCAGGCAGGAAGAGGATTTATGAGTGGGTGATCCAGAAATGTAATATAAAGGAGTCAGGACCCAGGCAGTAATGGAAATGGAGAGGTCCTGGCGAGCGAGACAGGCGGCCAGGGCCCACTGACCTCTCAGGCCCAGCAACCACCCTGCCTCTGCCTTTATGAAAAGCTTCCATCATCCTTCCCTTCTGCCTACCCCACTCTCCCTCCTTGCTGCCTGCACTACAGCTCCCATCCATAGCCAGAACCCAGGTCACCTGCATCCACCTGAATCTGCCTTTCTAGAGCTGCTTCCTCTGTCTCTCCATCTCCTGTCTCCCCTTCTCCCCTTCCCAAATCTGCCTGGGCTCAGTCTACACTGATGGACTTCTGTCTCCAGGCCTTTGCTCAGGCTGTTTCTCCTGGAATTGTCCTTTCCCCATGTCCCTGTGAGCAAACCTCCTTGAGGGTTCCTTCCCTGACCTGTCCCTCTGTCCCTCTCTCATGGCACTGAGCATGGTGAGCCTAATATTGGAACCCATTCTCTCCCCCATCAGATGGAAACTTCTTTAAAAATAGGGGCTGGGGCTGGAAGCCACCATGGTTCTGCCACTAGCTGGCACGTGGGAGGTGCTCATTGATAATGGGATAATGGAAAGGAAGGTCCAGTTCAGAATCACCTCTGAGTGCAAAAAACCCCCGAACTCTCCTTTTACTCATTCTATGTGGCGGCAAGTGGCTGCTCATCCCCTGCTCCTGCCCGCTACTGCCTTCTGCTCTCTTCCCTGAGACACCTCTCCTGTGACAGGTCCTGGGTCTGCCTGGGTACAGCACCTAGCCCTGCCACATACAACATGCTTGCAGCCTCCCACCTGCATCTTACCCGGAGCAAAGCCCTCCTTCCCAGCCACAGATGCCCAAAGGGACACAGACTTTTGTGCTCAGAAAACTACCACCCCCGCCCCAACCACACTCTCCACCTGACCCACTTGCACCTCCAAGGGCCTGCTTGTGTGGCCTGAGGATCATCCCTGACTACCTGTTCTCTCTCACCCCTCCCCCCAGTCCATGTTCTGTAAGCTTTTCCTTCTGTTGAAGGTGATTTTCACATGTGCATCTTTCCCCACCCTAACAGCCACTGCCCTGTCCAGGCCATAGCCCTTCCACATTGTTCTCCCTGCCTCCACCTCACCCTACTCATTCTATTCTCCACCCCAAGGACCAGGGCCGTTATCCTTATCAAAACTTTCGGTGCTCTCCATGGGCTGAGAAACCAGGCTCATGCTCTTCAGCTGACAATCAAGCCCTCTGCCATCCGGCTGGCCTGGGACTTCTCTGGCCTTATTCCCCATTTCCCCAGCATCTCCACCCATACTCTTCAGGGCCACTCACACGGGCCCACCTCCTATTCTCCAGTACCCCTGGTTCTCTCCCACCTCCGAGCCTTGGGTCATGTGGTCCCTTCACTTGGAAACACTCTTCCTCCTCATCTCTGCCCATCTAATCTACTGTCCTTCCAGGACAGCCCAAAGGCCATCTCCTCCATGAAGTCCTCTCTGACTACCTTCCAGAAGGCAGGGACCTCTCAGTCCTCTGAGCTCCTATGACCCACACAAAAAGCATCCGTGTCTGGCCACCCTTCACCCCAATTAGGCTTTCTGGGTGCAAGGACCCTGTCTCATTTCCCCTCTTCCAAACCCCACCCCCTGCTGCTGCCTCTTCTATGGAGACAAAGACAAAGGCATCCCTTGGGGGAGGGGAGCCGTCTTGAAATCTCTGGGAGGCGCCTGACAGCTCAGTCCTACTGAGAAGAAAGCGGCCCAGAAGGCTGCACTCCCAGGGAGGGGTTCTCACCAGAAGGCCCCGCGCTGGGCCTGAGCCAGGGAGTGTTTGCGGGAGCCCAGGGGTGTGTGTGTGAGGGGTGGGGGACTTGGCAGGCGCTGGGATGGTTATGATCCATTCTTGTTCCAGTTCCCTGATGTCTTTGTTTAGAATCCCCTGCTGCTCCTCACCAGGCAACAAGGGGGGTGTGGATAGCTCAGAGAAGGGGCAAAGGAGCCTTGGGAGGAGCCAGTTCCCCTCTTTTAAGGGGAGACCTAGGAAAAGGGAGGGAGCCCCAGAAGGGGCCCTCTTGTTAACGTGCATCCTTCACCAGGTGCAGGGCTGGCCCTTCAGCCCCTTGGGTTCTGGCTCCCACTCTTCCAGGCTTCTTGTCTGTCTGTCTGTCTCTCCTTAGTCTGCAGCCTCTTCCTCTGGACTAGCTCCTCTTTCAACAATGCCCTACATTCCCCTTTCCCCCTCCTCCCACCCCCAGTGCTGTCCTCTCCACAGATGCCAGCAGGCTGTGGCTCAGATCCACGCCCTCTTCCTCAGCACCCCAGCCCATGCACTTGTCCAAGCCAATTCATTCCAACTCCTATTCTTTTGCCCCCACTCTCTCTGACTCAGAAGAGTTTAACACACAATCACCAGAGCCCAGAGAGACAGCCCAGGTTCCATTCCCAACTCTGCCACTTACCAGCCAGGTGTCCTTGGCAGGTCCCTTCACCACTCAGAGCCCCGGTCTTCTCACCTAAATTGATGTAATAATACCTATCTCAGCCAGATGCAGTGGCTCACACCTGTAATCCCAGCACCCTGAGAGGCCAAGATAGAGGAGAGGATTGCTTGAGCTCAGGAATTCAAGAGCAGCCTGGGCAACATAATGAGACCTTGTCTACAAAAAATTTTTTAAAATTAGCCAAGCATGCCGTCACGTGCCTGTGGTCCCAGCTACATGGGAGGTTGAGGCAAGAGGATTGCTTAAGCCCAGGAGGTCAAGGCTGCAGTGAGCTCTGATCACGCCACTATACTCCATCCTGGCTGAGAGAGTGAGACCCTGTCTCAAAAACAAAACAAAACAATACAAAATGAAAAACCTATCTCACAGGTGGTGAGGTAAGAACTGAGCGGGGCACAGAGCAGGGCCAAGCACACAGGATGTACCCCATAGAAGGCAGCATTGTCAGGAATGCCCTGTCCTCCCTAGTAAATGTCATGGCCACCAAGCATTGAGCCCTACCAGTGAGTCCTGTGACGACCCCCCTTTCCAACTGATCCTTCTCAGTGTCCTTCCCAGGATCTTCCTTCTCTGTTCATCCCCTAAATGTTGACAGCCCCACCTGCTGTCCCTCCTCCTTCTCTGTCTGGGTAATCTCAGCCACCCTTGGGCTCCTGTAGCCATGGGACACCATCACCTCTGAACCTGCATCTCCAACCCAATCTCTCTCTCTCTGGAGCTCCAGAGGCCCTTCTTGGCCCTCTCTAGCAAATTCCAAAATGTTACATATGTATGATTCCATTTATATAACATTTATGAAATGGTAAAATTTTAGATATTGAAGACACATTAGTGGTTGCTGGGGAGGGCAGGTGCTGGGATGGAGGTGGGTGCAGTCATAAAAGGGTATATTAATTTCTTTTTTATTAATTTTTTATTCCCATAGGTTATTGGGAAACAGGTGGTGTTCGGTTACGTGAGTAAGTTCTTTGGTGGTGATTTGTGAGATTTTGGTGGATCCATCACCCGAGCAGTATACACTGCATCCAATTTGTGCTCTTTTATCCCTCACCACCTTCCCACCCTTTCTCTCTGAGTCCCCAAAGTCCACTGTGTCTTTCTTATGCCTTTACTTTCTCATAGATTATCTCTCACGTATGAGTGAGAACATACAGTGTTTGGTTTTCCATTCCTGAGCTACTTCACTCAGAATAATAGTCTCCAATCTCATCCAGGTCACTGTGAATGCCATTAATTTATTCCCTTTTATAGCTGAGTAGTATGCCATCATATATATATGATGGAATATATATATGTGTGTGTGTGTGTGTGTGTGTGTGTGTGTGTGTGTATAATACAACAGTTTATCCATTCATTGATTGATGGGCATTTAGGTTGGTTCTATGTTTTGCAATTGTGAATTGTGCTGTTATAACCATGCATGTGCAAGTATCTTTTTCATATGATGACTTCTTTCCCTCTGGGTAGATACCCAGCAGTTGGATTGTTAACTCAAATGGTAGTTCTCCTTTTCGTTCTTTAAGGAATCTCCATACTGTTTTCCATAGTGGTTGTAGTTTACATTCCCACCAGCAGTGTAGAAGTGTTCCCTATTCACTGTATCCACGCCAACATCTATTATTTTTTATTATGGCCATTCTTGCGGGAGTAAGGTGATATCACATTGTGGTTTTGATTTGCATTTCACTGATCATTAGTGATGTTAAGCATTTTGTTCATATGTTTGTTGGCCATTTGTATAACCTCTTTTGAGAATTGTCTATTCATGTCCTTAGCCCACTTTTTGATGGGATCGTTTGTTTTTTTCTTGCTAATTTGTTTGAGTTTGTTGTAGATCCCAGATATTAGTCCTTTGTCAGATGAATAGATTGTGAAGATTTTCTCCCACTCTGTGGGTTGTCTGTTTACACTGCTGACTGTTCCCTTTGCCATGCAAAAGTGCTTTAGTTTAATGAAGTCCCAGCTATTTACCTTTGTTTTTATTGCATTTGCTTTGGAGTTCTTGGTCATGAAATCCTTACCGAAGCCAATGTCTAGAAGGGTTTTTCCAATGTTGTCTTCCAGAATTTTCATAGTTTTAGGTCTTTAAGTCCTTGATCCATCTTGAGTTGATTTTTGTATAAGGTGAGAGATGAGGATCCAGTTTCGTTCTCCAACATGTGGCTTGCCAATCCCAGTACCATTTGTTGAATAGGGTGTCCTTTCCCCACTTTATGTTTTCGTTTGGTTTGTCAAATATCAGTTGGCTGTAAGTATTGGGGTTTATTTCTGAGTTCTATATTCTGTTCCATTGGTCTATGTGCCTATTTTTATGCCAGTACCATGCTGTTTTGGTGAATATGGCCTTATAGTATAGTTTGAAATCAGGTAATGTGATGCTTCCAGATTTGTTCTTTTTTGCTTGGTCTTGCTTTGGCTATGTGGGCTCTTTTTTCATCCATATGAATTTCAGGATTTTTTTTTCTAATTCTGTGAAGAATGATGGTGGTATTTTGATGGGAATTGTGTTGCATTTGTAGATTGCTTTTGGCAGTATGGTCATTTTCACAATATTGATTCTACCTATCCATGGGCATGGAATGTGTTTCCATTTGTTTCATCTGTGATTTCTTTCAGCAGTGTTTTGTAGTTTTTCTTGCAGAGGTCTTTCACCTCCTTGGTTAGGTATGTTCCTAAGTATTTTATTTTATTTTTGCAGCTATTGTAAAAGGAGTTGAGTTCTTGATTTGATTCTCAGCTTGGTCATTGCTGGTGTATAGAAGAGCTACTGATTTGTATACATTGATTTTGTATCCAAAAACTTTGCTGAATTCTTCATAAAAGGGTATATTAATTTCTAATTTCTTCTGTAATAAATGACCACAAACTTAGTGCCTTAAAGCAATACAAATGTATTCTCTCTCAGTTCTGGAGATCAGAAGTCCAAAATTAGTTTCACTGGGCTAAAGTCAAGGTGTTGGCAGGGCCGCAGTCCCACTGAAGACTCCAGGGGGAAACCTGTGTTTTGCCTTTTTCAGCTTCATGAGGCCGTCTGCATTCTTTGACTCATGACCTCTTCCTTGCATCACCTTAGCCTCTTGCATCCATCATCACATTTCTTACTTCCTGCTTTGACCTTCTTGCCTCCCTCTCACAAGAACCCCTGTGATTACTTTTAGGGCCTACCTGGATAATCCAGCAGCATCATCTCCCCCTTTGAAGATCCTTAACTTAAGTACATCTGCAAAGTCCCTATAACATTCACAGATTCCAGGGATTAGGACCTGTATCTCTTGGGGGATAGTGGTAGTTGCATTATTCAGCTTACCACAAAGGGCTACACAAGGAATCTTGGTGGTGTTGGAACCGTTCAATATCTTGACTATGGTGTGGTTGTATCCCATACAAAGATCTACCCAGGGGATAAGATTGTGTAAAACTTAACACACACACACAATTGAGTACAAGTAAAACTGGTGAAATCTGAATGAGATGTGTGGCTTTTATCAATATCAATATTCTGATTGTGATATTATACTATGGTCTTGCAAAATGTCACCATTGAGGGGAAACTTGGCAAAGTGCATAAGAGTTCTCTCTGCATTCTGTCTTACAACTGCATGTGATTCTACAGTTATCTCAGGAAAATTTTTAATTATTAAAAAAGTGCTAGGCCAGGTGTGGTGGCTCATGCCTTCATATAGTTTGGCTGTGTCCCCATGCAAATCTCATTTTGAATTGTAGTTCTCATAATCCCCACATGTTGTTGGAGGGACCTGGTGGGAGGTAATTGAATCATGGGGGCAGTTACCCCCATGCTGCTGTTCTCATGATAGTGAGTGAGTTCTCAAGAGATCTGATAGTATTATAAGGGACTTTTACCCCTTTGCTCAGCACTCATTCTCCTTCCTGCTGCCATGTGAAGAAGAATATGTTTGCTTCCCCTTCTGCCATGATGGTAAGTTTCCAGAGACCTCCCCAGCCATGCTGAACTGTGAGTCAATTAAACCTCTTTCCTTTATAAATTACCCAGTTTTGGATATGTCTTTGTTAGCAGCGTGAGAATGAACTAATACATGCCTGTAGTCCCAGCACTCTGGGAGGCCAAGGAAGGAGGATCCTTGAGCCCAGGAGTTCAAGACCAGCCTGGGCAACATAGAGAGACCGTGTCTCAAAAATAGTACTAGGCTGAAGGTATGGCAGAAGCCAATTTGGTCATCTTCTCAGCTCCCTTTCCTTGTAATCTTGCAGTCCTGCCCACAAGGATGGGCTGTCAGCTGCCATGTGTTAGAAGCTGAGCTGACCCTCTTGGCTACAGGTGATGGCACCAGAAGTAAGCACCTGACCCAAGATGAGCCCGTTAGAGCCCATTCTTCAGTTCTTTGGTAATTTAGAATTGGGACGCCGGAGACAGCCACCCTGTGGATGGCTGGACTTGTCACATAGAAACATGACACTTGGGGTGTCCATGTTCTACCACGTACAGGGAGGAACAGGGGATGTTCATTCAAAGACAGGAGATCGGAGTCCCTCTGCAGAGGGAAGCAGACAAGAGCTGAAGAGGGTGCCTTGCTTTCCTATTGGCTTTCCACTTCCTGTTTCTAGTCCTTCTGGAGATGTGGCCCAATTTAGCCCCTGGATTTCATGAGATTCCTTGTAACAAATCTCCTCACTGCCACTCCCTGTCCTCCAGCTAGCTGAGAAAGATTTCTATTATTTACAGTGCGGACTTTGAGCCATGGCCTGCCTAAGCCCTGGGTGCCCTGGGGAGGTTTGTGTGCTACCCTTCCAGGGTTCAGCACAGGGAGGGTATGCAAAGGGTCCTTTTTAATCTTGGACTTTGACCCCACTCCTGTCCTGTATCCTGTCAGTCTGTAAAATGCAGGAGTGGGCCTGTCAGCTGCCCTGAGAGCCCTCTCAGCTCTGCGGCTCTCTGCAATCAGTCCCACGCATGGTGCACACAGTGGGAACTTGCTGACTGCTCATAGCATGGGGTGGAGGCTGTCCTGAGAATTGTGCCAGAGGATGGTCTGAGGACAGTGGGCAAACCCCAAACACTGTCATGTCTAGAGGAAAGGAGACTGAGAAGAGCCCAAGTCAGCTCCCCTAGGCAACCAGGAAACAATTTGCAAGATGGAATTCAACAAGCAATGCCAACAAGATCATAATGACCATATTTATGGGAGAACGTGGAGGCCCGCGTGCGGGTTTTCATTATCATGTGTATAAATGTGATGGCTCTGTGCAGCCAGCCTCCCGCTCCAGGCGGCAGCTGTTGGCTGGTGCATGGTAATTTGATGTAAATTGTCCCCAAATATGGTAGTTCCCTCCTCTGCCAGGGGAGTTTGAAGTCACAAACCTGGAGATGTTGGCAGCAGATGTTTTCTTACTCCTCCGCAGGCTGCTGGTATTGTGGAAAAGGATAACAAACCCAGAGACAATGCTTACCTGCACCACCTCTGGTGTGCCTGCTGTGAGACCTGCAGCACACGCGCCACCCCTCTGAGCCTGTTTCCACATCTGTAACATAGGCACAATGTCCTGTCAGGGTTACTTTGAGGAGTAGAAGAGATATACCCAGAGCATCCAGTACAGTGCTTTTATTAATATTCTTCTTTGGGACCTCGGTGGTGCCAGTTGTAGGAGCTGGGCAGTCAGTGCCCAAGCTTGTCTTCTAGTCCTAAATGGTGGGCTCCCCCAGGCAGAAAACAGGAAGAGCAACATGATTAAAATAAAAGTGAAAGTTCTAGGGAGAAACCTTAGTCTAAGGACAGACTAAGGTTTAATTCAAGAGCTCACTGGAATTTGTAAGCAAAACATCAATACCCCAATATGTAAATGAGCAAAGGGTTCAAACAGACAATTCACACCGGAGAAAGACAAATAACAATCCAACACAAAGAAAAATGTCTTTCCCCCCTCTTTTGCTTTACTTTTCTTTAATCCTCGGTGCAAGATATCAAATTAAAACAACCTCGAGATGGCTTTATTCCCACAAAATAAAAAAATATGTATATTAAAATGAGTTTCTAGCTGAAGTGATACACTCCGCTGGGGAGGTAAAACTTATCCTGTAGCAGACATTTTGCAAGGCGATCTAATAATATGTACCAAAAGTCAAATCAAGATAAATGATCCAGGCATCTCACTAATGTGAATTTCTCCTGAGGAGATTATTCAACAGGAGGAAAACGCCAAATCAACAAAGATGCCGTGAAAACATTTGAAAAGCGAGGTATGCATGCGTCAGTGGAAGATGGGGAAGCCATCCATGAGGTTCCACACAGAATACCCTGAAGTGCTTAAAAGGGTAGTTGTGTTTTGAGGATTAGGCATAGCATGTGGAACAATGTTTACAATGTATTTTTAATTTAAAAAAGGAGCACAAAAGGCTATTTATAGCATGATGGAAACTATACACATGTGACTGTATGACGCAAATGGTGCCTCCTTGCAAAGGATGAGACATTGAGAGGGGTGCGCTGTCCAGCACAGAGGGAGACCCCCGGGAGGCATGAGATCTCTGTCTCTCAGTCCCAAAGGTCATCTCAGAGCAGCAGCAGCAGCAGCAGACAAGCTTTGAGAGGTCCCAGAAAGCAGGCCTAGCACATGAGATGGAACTCTTTTGGGGGGCAGGTGGCAGCTCAGCTCAGGGAAGAGCCTTCTTGTGGTCAGTGACATGGGCTGGCCCCTGAGGTAGTGAGCTTTCAGGGGCTGGAGGTGTGCAAGCAAAGGCTGGAGTAGAGCTGGGCAGCTGGAATGATGTCACCTAGGATGGTTAAATGATATTAATCACATGTCTACTCATACCAGCCCATCTAGCCAAATATCCCTGTATTAGGCCATTCTTGCATTGCTATAAAGAAATACATGAGACAGGGTATTTTATAAAGAAAAGAGGTTTCATTGGCTCACAGTTCTTCAGGCTTTACAGGATGCAGGATGCTGGCATCTGCTCAGCTTCAGGGAAGGCCTCAGGAAACTTACAATCATGGCAGAAGGCACAGGGGGAGCAGGCACGTCACACAGTGGGAGGAGAAGCCAGCAAGAGACAGGGTAGAGGTGCCACACGCTTTTAAATGAACAGATATCTCAGGAGAACTCACTCACTATCGCGAGAACAGCACCAAGGGGACGGTGCTAGGCCTGCTTTTTGGGCCCCTCAAAGCTTGTCTGCTGCTGCTGCTGCTGCTGCTGCTGCTGCTGCTGCTGCTGCTGCTCTGAGATGACCTTTGGGACTGAAGGACAGAAAAGCCATCACAAAAAATCCAACTTAATGACCCAATCACCTCCCACCAGGCTCACCTCCAACATTAGGTATGAAAATTCAACATGAGATTTGGTGGGGACACAGATCCAAACCATAGCAATCCCTAAAAGGGAAACAGAGTAAGCCCATTCATTCATGGAACACAGGGAAGAAAGAGGGAGAGGAAGAAGGAAGGGGAGGGAGGGAGGGAATGAGGGAGAGAGCAAAGGAGAAAAGAGAGGAAGAGATGGAGGGAGGGAGGGGGAGAAGGAGGGAGGAAGAGAAGGCAAGGCCTGTCACATGCTAAGCAGGTATCTAATCCCTTTGTAAACACTGTCAGAAATTTATCTTCCTAATTGAAAAGCCCATGCGGGCTGGTTAATCCAGTCCATGTTAATGAGACCAAAACACATTAAAGTAGATATTGACTCCAGTCGTCAGAGAGCCAGGATTGAGGACACCAGGGGGAATATATTGACAAAAGTGAGGCTGGGGTCAGCCTTGGCCCCACGGACATTATCCTGCTGCTCCCTTGCTCAAACCACCCCACAAAGAGACCCAGTCATCCACCCAGGGCCTGCAGGATTTTCATTTCTTATGGGGAGAAAGTGCTACTTCCATGATGGAAGCCATTGGCCCCCTTAAATGGAAGAAAGTGGCCTTAAAAATAAAGGCCTAAATAAAAACATTCACTCAAACAAGTAGAGCAAAGTACAAATCTGTTCATGTTTAGTAACTTCAAAGAAATCATTACCAAGCCAGAGAGGGGCCTTCTGGGAGGCTGGGGTGAAGCAATGCTCAACCAATGCTTGTCTCCTGCTCATGACATTTAACCCCTCCTACAAAAGGTTAATACTCTTATCCTCAGCATTGCACTTAGTAAAAAGTCTCCCATCCTATATTCAATTAACGAGTGAGGCCTGGACCTCGGAGTCACACAGACCTTGTTTCAGCCTTGCCATCCCTCTCCTGGACCTCAGGATAACTGTGCATCAGTTGCCCTGGCCCCAGTTTCACCCTCCCCAATCCATCCTCCATGCAGGCCACTAGAATGTTCCATTTGCCAGTTCTGATCATTTCTTGCTCCCACTGAAAGACTTTCCATGTTTCACATTGCCTACTGGATAAAGCCTAAAACTGTTTGTCTTAATTCACCGTTTTTCTAGCATCAGCTCCTATCACCCTAATCACCACTGTCCCAAATTCCCACTATCACTACATGCCCTACGCTCCAGCCATTGACTTATTGAGAGAAAGTGACTTAACTCACAGGTCTGGACTCAAATCACCTCCACAGTCAGGCCAACACACTTTCGATTTAGTAGAACATGTAGTCATCTTGTTTGAAGATATTTTAAAAATACAGTATTAGGCCCATTGAGTTGCACAAACTTCTCAGTTTACAAATCTTTTTATGTAAATCATCTCATTTAACCCTCACTGCAGCTCCATGAGGTGGATATGATGAGGTCTGCTCTGCAGATGCTCAGGGACTCTGCCAAGGTCCCTCAGTGACTAGAGGGAGCTGTAACCAGGGACAGGAACCCAGCTTAACCAAGCACTTCTTGCACTCTGAGCCTACAGTTCCCAGGATCCATATTAATCCTCCTGTCTTACAGAAGAGGAAACTGAGTGACAGAGAGGTCCAGGAACTTGCCTGCATCCCAAAGTTACAGGGGTGGGTCAGACAGATCCATATCCACCCAGCTCAATGTCTACTTCTTTCTCCTGCATCCCAGCTGCCTTTCTGAGGCAGCCATCAAGAGGCTAAGTTGAGGCTGCCCTTTGCCCTCAGCAGTCATTCTTCACTGGGTCCCAGGAACAGGGGTTTCTGGATCATTATTTAGAATGTGATGGGAAGTGGGCATCAAACCAGACAGCAGCTGTTGTGTGAATTGAGGGATTCAATTGTCCTTGAGAAATATGTGTCCTTTGGGAGCAGCCCCAGCCCTCTCTGTCCCTGATCTGAAATAACTCGCGGGAAGTTCATGGCCAACCCTAAACCTGGTGGCAAGAAGAGCCTGAAACCCTGGAGCAGCCACCAAATTTCACCTCCAGTGGGTGGAGGGCAACTCGAGTTGTGTTTCACAGGCTGCTTTGAAATCCCAAGACAACACAGCAAAAAGGCACTCTCAGGTATGTATGTATTCATTCATTCATTCATTCACAAACGTGTCTTGAGAGCCTACACCTTGGCAGGTGCTCTGGGAGACACAGCCCAGGCCGTCAGGCCCCAGTCCAGTGGGGAGATAACCTGGTAAACTGTAAGGAAGAGGTTCTTCTTATCCAACTCCTACCTTTCCCATCTAAAGGAACTGAGGCCTAAGACGGGAGGCCCTCCTCTGCTTTCAAAGAAGAGAAGGCGGCAGTTTTGTGTTCAAGTCAGAGACCTCACAATGGCAGTTTTTCAGGAGGCTGAAGGGGCTGAATTTCTGTTTTCCCCAAGGCAAGCTGTAAGAGCGTTCCTTTGACAAGGTAATAAAACATCTGTGTTTACAAGAGAGACAGGAGGAAGCTGGCAGCTGTGGACCTCTGGGGCTGCCTCTGAAGGTGTTGCCTCGAAAGATACAGTCTGAGGTGGAGACATCCAGCTGTGAACAGCCTGTGCCTGGCCCAGAGCCTGGGTACTGGTCTCTTCCTTCTGCTTTAGAGACTTCTCCTGGTCTCCCACTTGTTGTGTGCTGGCCCACCCTGGCACAGGCCCCATCTGGACTTGCTGCTCACTGAGTGGTTGTTTGATGGATGGATTTCATCTCATCTGTGCCCTTCCCAACATGCAGCTTACCTAGAGGTCACAAGGTTTTAAACTCTTCTCTTCCCCCCTCCTGCAAGGTCATACGAAGCTGCTTTATTTGTCATCAAGGCCTTTCACTGCAACCCGCCTTGCCAGCCTTGTTTCTCTTCCTCCCGCACTCATGTGAACCCAGATCAAAGAGAGCCCACCCCACCTCACTGGACAGCACTGGCAGTGAAGATTCCACTGTCTGGCTTGTTGACATGAAGCTGGTCCCCAGGCCCTGTGTGGTTATGAAGGTGGGAGGGAAGCTAGAACCTCCCCACAGATAATCCCCAAGTCTCCAGGTTTCTATGGAAGCAGAGAAGTAGTAAAAGGCACATGAGGGGTATCTTAGTCTGGATGACTCTTTAGTCCACACCTGGGCTCTGGGATTGTTGGCCCTAGCACCCCTTCCCAGGTCCTCATGCAGCTGATACTCAGCTCGGCCTGACACCTTGACCCCAGCACCTTCCACTGGTCCTGCTTGATGCTGCCTCTTCTGGAAATGGGAATGGTGATCCTTCCCCACCCTTGCTACCTCCCAGCTGAACAGAGGGGCACATGAGGTCATGCGTGAGAAAGCACTTCGTAAAGGGTGAAGCACGAGGCTCAGAGGAAGCAGGTTCAGGTTTAGTTAAGATTTTTAAAGCATCAGCTGGGCGTGGTGGCTCATGCCTTCAATCCAAGCACTTTGGGAGGCCAGGGCAGGAGGATGGCTTGAGCTCAGGAGTTCAACATGGTGAGATCCCATCTCTACAAAAAATTTAAAAATTAACCAAGCATGGTGGCACGTCCTGGTAGTCCCAGCTTCTTGGGAGGCGGGGCAGGAGTATTACATGAGCCCAGGAGGTCGAGGCTGCAGTGAGCTTATGATTGTATCACTGCACTCCAGCCTGGGCAACACAGCAAGACTCCGTCTCTTAGAAAAAAGGGATAAGTGGCTCGTGTTTACTTTTGCAGTCACCCTAGTCATAGGGCCAGTTCAGCTGCGGTTCCTTAGGAAAAGGAAAACATCTATCTGCATCCTCCTAGTTACTAATTGAGCATGTGTTGCCTGGTACTTTCTCCAGATAGGACTTTGTTCATTTCACTCTGACCAGGAATGTGCAGAGGAAGCATTCAGACTATTCTGCCACTGTGACTGCTCCAGGGATGTGGGTAACAGACACTGGGTCATTGCCACAGGAAAACCTCAGCCTTGCCCACTGCTGGGAACAGCCAAGGAGACAGAAAGGAAGGTGACCCCTGACTCACTTGCATTTTGCAGACCTCACAGGAGTGTGTCTACTTGATGCCCCAGGGCCCTAGCTGCATGAGAGTGGGGAGAACACAGAAAACACAAGGTCAGCTCTCCAGCCTCTCCAACCAGCAGTGCAGAAGGGTGCTGAGCAAGCTGCCCCCCAGTATCCACCTCTGCAACCTCCTCAGTCTACAGAGCCAGCCGGGGGTGGGGCCAGCACTCAGATCTGCCTGGCTGGGACCCTGAGCCCTCCTCTGGATCACAACGTCTCTGTGATCTGGGGGTACAATGGTGTGAGATGAATGATTCAGGATAACCTTTCTGATGCGGGGAGAACAAAGTGTCCCTGCTACGTCCTCCAGAAAGCAGAGTCAACACAGCCGAGGGAGTACAGTCCAGAGATGTGAGGTGCATGGGAGGGAGGCAGGATGGAGGGAGAGCCACAGTGAGGATGTGCTTTTTTTTTTTTTTGAAACAGGATCTCGCTTTGTCACCCAGGCCAGAGTGCAGTGGTGCGATCACTGCTTGCTGCAGCCTCAACCTCCTGGGCTTACGTAAGTCTCCTGCCTCAGCCTCCTGAGTAGCTAATTTTTAAAAATTTGTTTGTAGAGATGGAATCTCACTGTATTGCCCAGGCTGTCTCAAACACCCGGCCTCACACCATCCTCCTGCCTTGGCTTCCTGAAGCACTGGGATGGCAGGCATGAACCACTTATCTGTTCTTGGTGTAATTGCTCCCCCTTTCATGGAGGGCTAACTTAGAGTCAAATCTTCACTCTGTGATTCCATCATCCACAAAGCCCAACTTTGACTAGTTGGGAGTAATCCCACTGAAGAGGTGCCAGTGGGAATGTGTGGACTTCTCCTGAGGCCTGGGGGTCCCCAGGGCTGGTGGAGGCAGGAACTCCACACTAAGGCACTGAAGAACCTGAGATGTCCCACGGCTGAGAACAAGAAGAGTCTGTAGGCTCGGGCAGGGCAGAACCAAGGGGACTGGGGCCAGGAGGAAGGCTGGAAAGAGGAGCCCAATCCCAGTCCTCTAGGTGGTGATCTGCGGCACAGCAGGATCAAAAGAGGAACAGAGGCCAAGGGCACAGGACATCTGGGATCCAGGCCCAACTTGTTCATGGCTCACTGTTTGCTGTTGAGCAGGCCCCTTCCCCTCTCTGGACTTGTTTCCCCACTTGTAAAACAAGAACTAGCTGGCCTCTAAGATCCCCCTCCAGCCCTGGAATTCTGTGGGTTGATGAGAAATCTCCCATAGTTAGCAACTGCTCCTGCACAAACCCACAGTCACATGAAGATGCAAGCAGATTGTTCTGTATTCACTTGGGAATTAATACCCTGAGTCAGTCTCTTTTCCACCAAGTGCTTGCCGTTGCCTTTTCAGATCTCCACACCAGAGCCACGAGTTCCAGGTAGCTCTACATTTGACACAATTTCTCACCATGCCAAAGAAATCTCTTCTCCCAGGCCACAGCCAAATGGAACCATCTGCACCATGAAGCTGAAGATAAAGCCGCAGAAAGATTGCTGTATTGTGAGTGGAGAAGAGGTCAGAAACAACCCTTCAGCCCAGGGAGCCAGGGAAAAGGCTGGGGTGCCAGGCCTTGACCACGATGTGGGTCAAAGGGAGGGATGGCCTGCCTCCCCTGAAACTGTCCCTCCTCACAACAACCCCCAGAGTTATGTGCTTCTCCCCCATTCTGGAGGTGAGGAAAGTGAGACTCAGAGAGGTGAAGTCCCCTGCCCAAAGTTACACAGCCAGTGACGAAATCAGGCTTCAAAATGAAGTCTGTCTGGCTTTCAGCTCTGGTACATGACCTCCCCCTGACACTGATCTGTTTGTAAGCATGCCCCCTTTAGTGGAGTCTCCCTTCAGGGGCAAGAGCTGGGTGGACTCAGCTCTTATTGCAGGGCTCATAGACACACAACAGATGCTCAGCAAATGCTGGTGGAGCAAAACTGAACAGAATTTCCACTAGCGCCCAGACACTTGAAATTGATGGACAGGTGATCTCCCATTCGGGCCATGTGTGTGTCATCTGCAATGGCTCCCGTGGAGTTGAGCAGACAGGAAAAGTGTCTCAGTCCCAGCAGGAGGCACAAGGTCACACTCTTGGAAGGAATTAATAATATCCAAGGAATTCCTCTGGAACAGTGGGGGGGAATAAAGGTTCTTCAAAGAAGGCCTAATAGCAAATTTTCTGGATTTTCCAGCTAATTTGAAGGTACCTACATGGAACATTTTCTTGTCAGAAAAGATTTTAAAATACATTCATTCAGCGTGACATGATAATTGGGCCTGGCTGCCTGATGAATGCCTTTTATCTATTCCTGAGCTATTGTTCGCTGGTATTGAGCTGATGGGCTGGAACCAGCACTTTGTTAAATGCACAAACAGAGCCACTTGCAATGATTCCGGTCACCAGAGGCAGTGGGGTGTCAGAGGTGCAGGGAGCTGGTAATGATAGTGTCAGAGGAGGAAGGAACTTTAGCGATTAGAGAAGGCAACTTCTTCACTGTATACCTAGGGAGACCGAGACCCAGGGATGAGCAGGGAGCCGCTATGGGGGTGGCAGAAATGGGACTTGGACCTGGGTGTCCTGCCCAGACCCTGAGCATCCTCCCCTGCCTTCTGAGGATCCTGTGAAGAGAGGCGAGCAATAAACAGCGTGTGTCCATGCAAAGCTGCTCACACCCCCTGGATCCTCTGCTGGAGTGTGCTCCACTCGCACTTCATGGCAGGGCTTGGCTGCCAAGCGGAATGCATTTCTGACAGCTGACTTTTCTCAGCTCTGCAATGTTATTATAGAGTCAACTGTTTTCATAGGCCCTTTTCTCTCTCTCTCCTTTCATGTTTTCCTTTATTTTAATGTCTTTGTCTTATCAAA
The DNA here is from genome assembly GCF_000001405.40 of Homo sapiens. Classification (NCBI taxonomy): domain Eukaryota; kingdom Metazoa; phylum Chordata; class Mammalia; order Primates; family Hominidae; genus Homo; species Homo sapiens. The sequence continues at coordinate 38,361,854 of NC_000009.12, forward strand.
GGCAAATTTCCAGGCCTGGCCATCTGATAATCATTTGCAAAGTCTCCATGTTTCTTTATCATCACCCTTTCTGAGAAGGAAGGACTTGTTTGGACCTAACAATTCTTCAACTTCACATAATTTTTTGGTTTTATCTGAATCTGAAATTTCTCCACTTTAAAAAAAAAAAACAGAATCTCTTTTAGAGTAGCTCTGAGCCTTCCATGTGTTAATTAGGTGTTTGCGAAACTATGGTTTGGGTTTTCTGCTTTGTCAGAGCAGGGCTACTATTTTTCTCTTAAAAGACTCAGTACATTATTAGAAATGCCTTTCACTAACATTTAACAAATAAAACAGTTCTATAGGGACAATGAAGTTGACATTTCCATTGTTTTCTTTAGAAAACACCACAGTGTTAATCATCCCTCAAGGGATTGCATTTTTTGAACAAGTGAAGTAGCAAAGGCCCAGGCCAGGGAGTACACGTATGTGCACACGTGTTGGTGTTTAGCCACGGATGCATGTCTATGTTTTTATGCTTAAGTCTGCATGTCAGAATGTGTATTCATGACACTCTGCATGTGGCTGTTTGTCTGCCAATGATAATCGGCTACATGCATGTATGGATTAATGGTCTGTGTGCGTGTGTGTGTGTGTGTGTGTGTGTGTATGTGTATGTGTGTGTAGATGAACCTATGTAAACCTGTGTGTATCTGAACATATCTACCATGTATGTGGATATGTGCTTCGTGCACCTCTGTGTGTGTGTTTTATGGCACCGTGACTGTATTCATGAGTACATGTTTGCGTGCGTACTTGCTCGTGTTTATGTACCTCCATAGTCATGTATCACATAATGAAGTTTCCATCAATGACAGACCACATATGCGACAGTGGCCCAAATTATAATATGGTATTTTCACTGTACCTTTTTTATGTTTAGCTATGCTTAGATACACAAATACTTACCATTGTGTTACAATTGCCTACAGTGTTCAGCACAGTACCTGCTGTACAGGTCTGTAGCCTGGGAGCAATAGGCTATTCCGTACAGCCTCAGTGTGTAGTAGGCTCTGCCATCTAGGTTTGTGTAAGTTCAGTCTACGATGTTCACACAAAGAGGAAATTGCCTAATGACGCCTTTCTCAGAACGCGTCCGTATTAAGTGACGTATGACTGTATATAGATATACACATCTATCCGCATATGTGTGACTGCTATGTGTGTGATGATTTGTGAGTCTGTGTGCATCCATATGTCTGAACATAGGCACACGTGTGTAGATATGTCTTTGTCCATGTTTCTCTACTTCAGTGTTTGCATGCCACGCGGATGCTGAGTTCTGTGTTCAGAGCCTCCTATAAACACGTACACAGTACCCTCCAGTGGACATCAGTGGAAAGCACCTTCAAAAAAAAAACAAAGCCAAAAAAAGGCAGGATCTGAATCGCTTCCAAATTCAATACTGGTTTGTCATCAGACGCAGGGTGAAGTTTTCAGGACGGTCCTTGAGAAAACCGGGGAGGGTCATGCTTCTGGAGTGGACACACACTTAACAGTTTTCCCTATGGAGGTCCAGCCTACCGGCAGCTGCTTCATGATGCGGGGGTGAGAGGACAGAGGCAGGATCACTGGGTGGGTCTGTGAGCCAGGAGGGAGGAGGTGGACGACACGCATTAGACCATGGTCAGGAGCAACTGTACTCAGAGCTTCCATGTTTGCTGGGGCCCTGCATTCTCTATTGCCCCAGTCGGGCCCAGTTCCAAGAACATGGAATTCACATTCAGAGCTATGCCCTTCATGCACCACACCAAGTCCCACTGGTCTGGGAAATAGGATCCCTTCACCCGAAACGCTGTGTTGATTTCCTGTGGCTGTTGTAACATAGTGCCACAAACTCGGTGGCTTCGTGGAGGTCAGAAGTGTCAATGGGTCACCAGGGCTGGCACCCTCTGGAGGCTCCAGGGGAAGCTCCATCTCCCTGCCTCTCCAGCAAGGTGATCTGCATTCCTTGGCTGGTGGACCCACGTCACTCCAACCTCTGCTTCTGTTTGCACATCCCCTTCTCTGCCTCTGTCTCTCCTAACTCCCTCTTTCCCTTATAAGGATCCTTGTAATTCCATTTGGTCCACCTGGATAAGCCAGATAATCTCCCCATCTCAAGTCCTTAATCCCATCTGCAAAGTGTCATTTGCCACGCAAGGCAACATTCCCACGTCCTGGGGATAAGGATGTGGATGTCTGGGGCGCATTATTTGGCCCACCACAGGTGCCCATCCCAGAGTTCTGTGTCTCCCTGTACAGTTCTGTATGCGTTGGGACTAGCAGGACTTGAGACACTGGTGCCACTTATGGCAGGTTTACTCGGTGCCTGTCATTGCACCTGACTATGCACTCTGCCATTTGGTCCTCGCAGCTTTCCTATGAGGTAACTGGGGCTTGGTAAGGTGACCTAAGGTGCCAAGGCACACAGCTGGGAAGTCATGGAGACAGATTTTGAATTTAGGATTGTCAAACTTCAAAACCATGATGACGTGGTTTGGATATTTGTCCCCGCCCAGATCTCCTGTTGAAATGTAATCCCCATTGTTCGAGGTGGGGCCTGGTAGGAGGTGTCTGGGTCGTGAGAATGGATCCCTCCTGGCTTGGTGCTGTCCTTGAGATGATGAGTTCTCTTAAGATCTGTTTTTTTGTTTTTGTTTTTGAGACAGACTCTCGCTCTGTCGCCCAGGCTGGAGTGCAGTGGCTTGATCTCGGCTCACTACAACCTGCACCTCCCAGGTTCAAGTGATTCTCCTGTCTCAACCTCCCAAGTAGCTGGGATTACAGGCACGGGCCACCACTCCCGGCTAATTTTTGTATTTTTAGTAGAGACCGGTTTTCACCATGTTGGCCAGGCTGGTCTCAAACTCCTGACCTCAAGTGATCCACCCACCTCGGCATCCAAAGTGCTGGGATTACAGGGATAAGCCACTGTGCCTGACCGAGATCTGGTTTTTTAGAAGTGTGTGGCACTTCCCCCAGCCTTGCTCCCGTTGTCACCATCTGAGACACCTGCTTCTGCTTCTCCTTCCGCCATGATTGTAAGCTTCCTAAGATCCTCACCAGAAGCCGAGCAGAGCTGGGGCCATGCCCATTCAGCCTGCAGAACTGTGAGCCAATTAAACCTCTCTTCTTTATAAATTACCCAGTATCAAGTATTGTTTTTATAGCAATGAGAGAACAGCCTAATATACATGCCCTTCTCCATTAAAAGACATGGTAACAGGGCCAAATCCCCATTTTACCGATTAGAAAACTGAGATCTGGAGGCAGGGCATTTGATGATAATTTGACATAAATAAATGCCTTGAGAAAAATGTATACATATGTCCTTTTAAGGATTGCTGCCATAGATAAACCAAGCAGTCATGTGAGATCCGGGGCATAAGACTTTTTAAAGTTAGATGTATTAAGGTTTTACATATACTAAAATTCACCAGCTTGAGGTATACAGATCTGTGAAACACACACAGCCTTTAACCACCACCATAATCAAGACATAGCATATTTCCATCACCCCAAGTGCTGCTTCCTGCCTCTTTGTAATCAGACCCCTCTTTCCACCCCAACTCCTACAATCCTGGTCTATTTTATGTCCCTTTAGTTTTATCTTTTCCAGGACATCATAAATGGAAGCATAGATGGCCTTTTAATTCTTTTTTAAATTAAGGTATTCTTTACATATACTAAAATGAGGTATTATTTGCATGTTGTATTTACATATAATTTACATATAATACAATGTATGCTTTTTGGTATACAGTTCTGTGAGTTTTGACACATACAGTCATGTGACCACTACATCAATCAAGATACAGAGCCATGCTATCACCTCAAAAAATTCCCTTATGCATGTGCCTCCATCGACATCCTTCTCCCCATCCTGGCAATCAATCATCTATTTTCTGATCCTATAATTTTGCCTTTTCCAGAATGTCATATAAATAGCGGACTACAGTATGAAGCCTTTTGAGTCTTCCTTTTTATTGCTGAGCAGTATTCCATTGCATAAATGCACCACAGTTTGCTTATTTATTCACCAGTTGAAAGACATTTAGTTTATTTCCCAATGTGGCAATTATGAATTATTCTTTGTGTTCACGGCTGAATTTGCTTTGATAATATTTTGTTGAGGATTTTTGCATCTATATTCATAAAGAATTTTAGACTGTAGTTTTCTCCTTTTTTTGGAGAGTCTTTGTCTGCTTTTGGTATCAGGGAAATGTCAGCCTTATAAAATGAGAAGTGTTTCCTCCTCTTCTATTTTCTGTAAGAGTTTGTGTAGAACTGGCATTATTTCTTCCTCAAATGACTTGGTATTAGAATTCACCAGTAAAGCCATCTGAGTCTGGAGTTCCCTTTGTTGGAAGCTTTTCAATCTTAAATTCAATTTGTTTAATAGATATAGGGTTATTGTTGTTATCTATTTCTTCCTGAGTGAAGCTTGGGTAGTTTGCATCTTCCAAAGGATTTGTCCATTTCATCTAAGCTATTAAATTTGATTATTATAAAGTTAAGGAGAAGTCAGTACTGAAATAACCAAACACATGAGTGAATGGCTCACCTAAGAAGACCATAGAGAAAAAAGAACAGAGATTCTGGGTTTAAAAATTACTTGAAATTCATGAAAAACTTTATGCTTTTTTGAAATGAAACAGTTTATTTAAAAGTACAATTATGCACAAGGATGTAAAGCAAAGTCTTAATATAAAAAATTGGAAACCACATAAATGTCAAGGAAAGCAAATATGGTATATTCACTTGATGGAATATATGTTATTCAAATTGTGTCAAAATATGCACAGCAAAATCTAGAGAGAAATACACCCAAATAGTAGTAGTTTTTGAGGTTTTGAGTCTATGGAGTTGCTTATTTCTTCTTTTCTATATCCTTCAATAATACTTTAGTAATATCTTGATTGATTATAAGCTTTCTTTGACTCATTTTTCTACAAATTCATTTTTTAGGTCATCAAAATTTATACTTCTAACCCCATTTTTCAGTGGACACAACTGAAAATAACGTTAGTCACTCAATAGCACATTCTCCTGCTGGTGGTCACCCTTGGAAAGGAAGCAGCTCATCATTCAGTCTCTCCTAGGTACCTGGCTTGATGATATTGCTGCAGGGCAAAGAGCTCACTCGCCATCAAGGGTGGTTTGTTTGCAGTGTAGCCACATCTCCTCTCTCCTGGGGCCTGACTCCTGCCACCACTGCCACCAATATGAGCCCAGGTCCTGGGCCTGGCCACCCCTCAGGGTCCTACCACACCCTGGACACACCCCAAGTGTAGTGTGTATGCACTTCAGGTGGCAAGGCCAACTGCTTGATCTGCACAGTGTACACTGTCCCTGCAGACCTGAGCCCACGCATGCATGCCTTACCACCTGGCATATATCCTCTGCTCACGTGCAGGCTCCATTGTACTATCAGACTTCACTACAAAGCAGGTTGAAGGGTAAAATTATTAAGAATTTTTTTTTTCTTTTGAGACCAGGTCTCACTCTGTTGCCCAGGCTGGAATGTAGTGGCATGATCTCAGCTCACTGCAACCTCCGCCTTCTGGGTTCAAGTGATTCTCCTGCTTCAGCCTCTCAAGTAGCTGGGAATACAGGCGTGCGCCATCGTGCCTGGTTAATTTTTGTGTTTTTAGTAGAGACGGGGTTTCACCACATTGGCCAGGATGGTCTCAAACTCCTGACCTCAGGTGATCCGCCGACCTTGGCCTCCCAAAGTGCTGGGATTACAGGTGTGAGCCACCATGCCTGGCCAAATTACTAGGAATTTCAAGACAGCCACAGTAGAGCATAAAAATCAAGTGCCTGTACAACTGCAGAGGTCTCATACCTGTAAAGCCAGCCTGGAGCAAGAACACGGAGGCCTGGGCAGCAGAGGCTGAATGTGGAGTAGTGTCATCCCTTAGAAGTCAGAGTGGGCACAGTGGGTGGGCAGGTCCAGTGATTGATAGTCCTAGGATGCCTACCAAACATACAAATACACACCATCTTTACCACAGTGTAATTTCTGTTGTAGAAAGTAATAAGAAATAAAAAAAAAAAACCACCATGAAGGCAGATACTATTTCTCAGTTTAATTTATAGCTAAAGTCCCAGGGCCTAGTCTAGTGCTTAGCAATTAGCAGGTAACCAATAAATATTATTAAATATAATTGCAGGGATTCCTATTCTTATCTTTTCTAGTTAGCTTGATAACTCCTATATATCCTTCAAGACCCTATTCAAAATGCCCCCTCTTCTAAAAAGTTTTTAGGAACCCTTCCAGAGTTAGTGACCCTTGTTTTCCTGCACCTTCTGCAGCTCTGATTTTAACACCAAGCCAAGGCATGGAGGTTATAAGACAACATCTTACACAAATCCCCATATTTTGGTTTAGTTTCAAAATTTTTTCTCAGTAATTTTATAACTACTAAAAATCTTAACCCCATCAACTAGGATGAAATGAGTTTTTCTATGGCATTTTCTAAGAAGTAAGGTACTTTGTTTATTAATCATTCTTTTCCTATTTTTGCCAAATGACTTTATTAATTTTGGTATCCAAAAGTTTTTCTGTTTCTTTTTTTAAAAAATTAAACATTTTATTTTGGAATAATTTCAGATTTACAAGAAATTTACATATATAGTACCGAGAATTTCCATGTACCCCTTATCCAGTTTCCTCCATTGTTAACATTGTACATTATCATGCTATACACATCAAAACAAAGACATTTGATATTGGTACATTACTAATAAGTAAAGTCTAGACTTTACTTAGATTTCACCAGTCTTCCCATTAATGTCCTCTTTTTGCACTGGTATCCCATCCAGCATATATTGTATTTAGTTGTCATGAGTCTCCATGGTCCCCTCTGGTCTGGGATAGTTTCTCAGTCTTTCCTTGTTTTCCATGACTTTGACAGTTCTAAGGAGGACTGACTGGGGATCTTGTAGAATGTCCCCAATCTGGGTTTGTTTAACGTTCTTCTCATGCTTAGACAGGTTAAGGTTTATGGAAAACACTCAACAGAGATGAAGTGCCCTCTGGCTACATCATACCAATGGATACATGATAGCCACATGACATCACTGGGGAGGCTCACCTGGATCACTTGGGTAAAGTGGAGTCTGCCAGGTTTCTCCATGGTGAAGCTGCTATTTCCTTTTCTACATTCTATTCTTTGGAAGCAAATCTCTGCTTCCTTTTTGATCTAGAATCCTATCTCATGTGTCCCAGAACCTATCGCCATATTATCATTGTTCTTTTTAAAAAAATCAATAAATTATGATCACTTTAAAATATATTTAACATCAAACTTTAAAAAGAAATTTGCCTGTCAGACCCAATGATCTGATAATTACTATAAACACACTATTTACTATAAAATTACATGCTAATTACTATAAACATGTAATCATCAGATTACAAAATAATCCCAATTTAGGAACAGGTAGGATGAAAGTGTTAATGACACCAATTAGTGCTGCTTGTCCCATCCCCAAACCTGGCTGCATCTGGCCCCTTGTGACAAATGACATAGGCATTCCCAGGCCCCTGTTCTGTACTAGACCTTGTCCTGAGCTCTGTGACCTGGACTCTGGAGTTGACCTGCTTCAACCCCTTTCTTGTATAAGAGGGGAAATTAAAGACAAGAGAGGGAAAGGGCTTGCCTGAGGTCACACAGCCTGTGAGTAGCAGAATCAGGACTCAATCCTGAGTCTCTCATTTCCCCAGCATTCCAAGTAATGCCGGTGATAACCTGGGATCCTCCATGAAATCCCTATTCAGCCAAGAAGGATTCTCTGCTTTTCTGCATGGCTTTTAATTCCAGTTCCAGTATCTGAGTCCCTTCTGCACAATCAAGCTGGGGTCTTGCAGGGAAGGTCCAGGGGAGAATAACTACTCCTCAGCACAGCCCTCAAGGAGCTTCTGGTGAGTAGAGTGACAATTCGATCAAGGGCTTAGTACAGGGTCCAGCACGGAATAGATATAAGTCATTGTTGGATGACTGGATTGGCCGGAACAAAGTCACTCTCCCTTCCACCTGGTTAATGCCCATTACACACCTTAATGATAGTATATGCCCACCCCTGAGAGCACTGACCACTTTACACCAGCTTGTGCTTCCTTTGAGTAATGGCCCTTTCCCAGCCAACACACCCAGATCCTGGAGAGCAGGGGCCATGTCAGTCTTGCCCAGCAGCTGGATCCCAGCATTTATCACAGAGCCTGGGAGATGGCAGGCACCTAGTAGATATTTGATGGCTGAATGAGTGAATGAATGAATGCCATTCCAGGCAGAGAGAGGGCCAGGCTGTCACATACATGCAGTCAGGCCTCCCACTGCCCAGATGCAGCTCCCCACATTTCTCACCAGCTGCCAGGCCATCCCATCAGACTCAGGTTTTCAAATAGAAGCGAGGAGTTGAGTGTATGAAGCTAAACAAAGCAGTGGGCTGAGCCAAACTTGCCTCGAGGCAAGCTGCTTCCTGCTGCCACCCCGGCTGGCACCCCATAGTCTGGAGCCAGGCCTGTCCCACAGCCAACCCTCAGCTTCCAAAATCTGCACCCAGCCAGAGAATGTAGGGTGAGGGGCTTCTGGGAGGGAGGTCACCTGCCACACTCCCATCCTGGATGGCAGGGTCAGACCACCCTACTCATGGCCCATACACCCAGATCCGGAGGTAGAGGTGGGAGGAAGCCTACATCCTGTGGTGGGATACAAGGAAAGAAGGAAGGAGACTCCACACCTCCTTGCACCCATCAGGAGCACAGCTCGGTGCTGGGCACTGCATGTGTGTTATCTTGTTCAAAAGTCATTACAAGTCACAGAGGCAGGGGTTGTTATTCTCTTTTACAGATGTGGAAACTGAGACTCAGAGAGGGCAAGAACTTGCCAAGGCCACAATTCTGGTCAGTGACAGAACTGATTTGAGCTCAGCTCTGTCTGATTCCAGAGCCTGAGGTTTGGTCTCAAGCTGTGGAGGTTTCTGTTCCCACACTCACCTGTCTTCCTCATTAGTTCCCATCTCTTCTTCAGTCCACATAAGATGCCACCAGGATACTGCCCTGGTGTTTTTGTTTGTGTGTGTTTGTTTTTTATTTTAAGGCTAAGATAAGGAAGGAGGGGAGTGGTAGGGAGGTCAGCCATTCACTCCCTGGTGTGAATCATTCTAATCCATTGCTTTCCTTCTGGCCTCCAGCTGAGTCTCACCTGCCTGGAGCAGGTAGAAATGTTGGGGAAAGTGTGGCTGCCTGGGAGTCAAGGTCGCTTTGAAGGATCCACTGAGTCAGTGTACAGATGAGGAAACTGAGCTCAAGAGCAGGAAGGGAAATGCCCAGAAGCCAGTGAGGAAAACAGGCAGAGTGCGATCTGGATTCAGCAACAGGAAATGTGATTTCCCCACCTATTTGGGAGGCTGAGGCAGGAGGACTGCTTGAGCCCAGGAGTTTGAGGCCAGCCTGGGCAACGTAGAAAGACCTTCCCCACTCCCTCGCAAAAAACAAAAACAAAAAAAAAGAATATGATTCCGAACACCACAGCAAGTGCATCTCTCTGAAGTCCCCTGCTGACAGTGAAGGTAAAGGCAAAGGTGAAGGTGGTGGGGCCAGAGCGTGGAAGGGAAGCTAGAGGTTTTCCGAAAAGGTCATTCTGTAAGAACCCAGGGGCTATCCTAGATGCAATTGCCTGTTCTAATAAAGGAGATCTCAATACCCACTTCAGTCTCCAGCACCCATGCAATTATCTGAGGACTGGTTTATGCAGAGGTGAACAACCTAATCTCACAGCAGGTGGCAGCCTAGTGTCTTGCAAAGTCACATGCCCTACCTGTGTTCTCACTCTGCTCCACTACTTACTGGGCTTGTGGACTTCTCTGAGCCTCAATATTCTCTTCTGTAAAGTGGTTGCCTACTTTGTAGCAAAGACGAGAGTTCATGACTATAAAGCATGTGTACACCTAGTATATGGTTGGCTCTCATTAAGGAGAACAGCCTTTTGTCAGGGCTGGAAATGGGCTTCTTTCTTGGTGCTTAGTCTCATTACTGCCTGACTTAAAACTTCTATCCAACTGGTCTGCGCAGCCCAGCAGAAATCCCTCAAAGGTGGTGCGTGGAGCCTAGACCTGGGACCCAGGAGACCTGGATCAGTTCCTGCCTCTTCCACAGACATGCTATGTGACCACAGACTGGTGCCTTCATCACTCTGCGTCTCAAAACTCCTGTCTGGCCTTGAGGTTAATGGTTTCCAAACACTTTATGTTATTTATTCTTCATACCTACCTTAGGAGATAAGTACTGTTGATATCCCCATTTCACAGATATAAGAACTGAGGCACAGAGAGGTTAAGTTAACCTTGGCATGCCCAAGGTTATACATCTAGTTAGAGAGGCAGGGTCAGGATTCAGTTCCAGCTCTGTCTGACACCAGAACCTCAGAAGAGTCTCCACCCAGGAGGACCTCAGTGCAGAAACAGAGAGGCAGGGTGGGCACGGTGAGACCCAGATAGGGTTGCCAGCCTGACAGATTTGAGGAGAAAGAAAAGGACTGGGAAATTGGGAGGGGATGGGAGAATCCCTTTCTCATCAAGGCAGCTGCAAAGGGAGGAACTGGTGGGGACTAGAGGCAGTGGGGGGCACAGGGAGTGGCAGGGAGGCAGTGCCAGGGGAAAAGGGGGGTCCTTTTGAGAATGTCTGGGACCTCACAGGTACAGAAAGAAGCCTGAGCTAGAGTTAGGGGCTTCAGCCTCTAGCTATGCCTGAAGGGTGCTGTGACCTGGGCAGATTCCTTTCTGTTCCTGGGTCTCAGTTTCCTCCTTCGTACCATGGAGGGTGAGTCCAGGAACTCTTCCAGGCCCTCCTTTGGGTCTCCAGCCTATAACTGAGGGCCCAGCCCAGAGCAGATGCCTGAAAATTGCTTACAGAATAGTGGCGTGAGCAGCTGAATGGAGGGGGGTCAGTGGTGGGGCAAGGGCTGGCTTAATGGAGTCACGCCCTTGGATGTGATGCTGATTAGTATCCTGATTATTGTCTACTTACAGCCCTGCTTCTCTTCACTGGCTGATGTGCAGACATTTATTAGTAAATCTTCACGGCGGTCTAGGGAGGTAAGTAGGGAGGGGGAAGCCTGTTTTACAAGCTTTGGGGGCGAGTATTGGGTGGGAGTGGAGGAATCAAAAAGACTTGAACCATTTGCTGGAGCCAATTTTGAGCTCTCCAGCAAAAAGAGATGCTGGAAACGCTCTTGTCTAATTCTCAGCTGCTCTGCCATTTGAATTCTCTCCACTCGAGAGATTGAAAACAGGCAGCTACAGATAAAATCTGTATTTTATTTGGCCTGCAAAGGGTGTTTAAAAATTTGTGGTTAATATTTAAATACAGGGAAATTTGGAGCATCCAACTCATCCACAGATATCAGGGTATAAATGGATACATCCCCTTTGAAAAGCTGATTGACATTTTCTACTATAAGCAGAACACATGCGTGCCTGGTGACCCAGCAATTCCACTCCTAGGTATGCACCCAACAGAAATGCGTACACACAGCCATCAAAAGACGTTCAAAAATGTTTATGGCAGCATGATTTGTAACAGACTGAAACTGGAAACATCCTAAATGGCCAGCAACAGGAGTGGATGAATTAATTGTGGTATAGTCACACTAAGGATTCTGTACAGTAACAAGGATGAAAATTAGCCAGGCATGGCTAATTTTATTAACTGTATAGTTAGTTATTAATTAGTAGTTATTAGTGATTATGAACTATAGTTGTTGACTATATAGTTATAGTTATTAACTATAGTTGCAGATGATGTCAATGACTTGTGGACAGATAGCATCTACAGTGTGGAATGCTGAACAAAGGAATCATTCCTATATTATTCACTGTATAGTTAATAATAGCCATGCTGTACATTAGGTCTCCAGAACTTTTTCATCTGCAAGTTTGTACCTTTCGGCCAACATTGCCCCATTTCCCCTACCCCTCACCGCTGGTATAACCACCCTTCTAGTTTCTGTTTCTGTGAGTTCACCTTTTTAAGATTCCACATATGAGTGAGATCATGCAGTATTGATCTGTCTTTCTGTGTGATGGCTAGATGGATAAAGCAACTTTGGTACAACAGTGCCCCCTTATCCACGTTTTCACTTTTTACAGTTTCAGTTACCCTGCAGTCAACCATAGTATGAAAGTATTAAATAGAAAATTCCAAAAATAAACAATTCATAAGTTTTAAACTGCGTGATGAAATCTTGTACTGTCCTGCTCTGTCCCACCTGGGATGTGAATCATCCCTTTGTTCAGCATTCCACATTGGAGATGCTACCTGCCCAGTTGTCATCAACATCGTCTGCTCTTGACATCCAACCACTAACATACTTATGGCTCAGTGATGCAGAATCCACCAAAGCAGATGAAGTGGGCTTGTATATTAAACACGCAATGGGCTGCTCTTTACATTCACAAATAAGAATCATCTCCCTGACTTATTTCACTTAGCATAATGTGCCCCAGGTCCACACGTGCTGTCACAAACGGCAGGAGTGCCCTCTTTTTAAAGGCTGAATAATATTCTGTTGTTTATATCTATAGTAGTCCCCCTTATCCTCCCCATTGTTCTTTTTCAAAAAAATTCGATAAATTATGATAGCTTTAAAATATATTTAACATCAAGCTTTAAAAAGAAATTTGCCTGTCAGAGCCAATGATCTGAGAATTACTATAAACACGTTATTTACTATAAAATTACATGCTAATTACTATAAACATGTAATCATCAGATTACAAAATAATCCCGATTTAGGAACAGGTAGGATGAAAGTGTTAATACATTCCAAGACCCCTAGTGGATGCCTGAAACCTCAATAGTACCGAACTCAACATAGCTTATGGTTTTCCCTATATGTAAATACCTAAAATAAAGTTTAATTTATAAATTAGGCACAGTAAAAGATTAACAACAATAGCTAGTAATAAAATAGAACAATTTTAACAATATACAGTAATCAAAGTTATGTGAATGTGGCCTCTCTTCTCTCTCTCTCAAAATATATTCCTGGCCTTTGAACACATTTCCGTTTACAACCTCCATCCTACAGTGTCCTTGCCAATGGTTTATCTGGCTTCTGTTTGCACATGCTGGTGACAGGGGGCTCATTCTCTCCCCAAGTGGTGCCTTCCATCATGGGACCATTTTGCTAGTTAGAAAGTGCTTTCTGAAGCTGACTTGAAATGTAACAGACTCACAGACTCTCACAAAGAGATGGGAACTTGGAGGTTTCCCAGCCCAGAAGTCCTTATCCTTTTCACCCTCAGAGACCTTTTCCTTACCCACCCCCTTGGGCTTGTTGCTGGAATATATTTTGTCTGCCTCTTAAGTTGCATTTATTACTCACTCACCTGAGAGAATGTATTTCCAAGTGACAGCATCCTCTGGAATATTTCAACTACAAAAGGCCTTTGACTGAGCGCTGTTCATCGAGTCCAGCCCCGGCTTTGCAAATAAACAGCTGACACCAAGAGAGGAGAAGCAACACGGCTGAGGCCACAGGGTGACAAAGCCTTAACAGGTATCAGCTCTCTGGCTGGCCATTCACATCCTCATTGGTCTCTGGATTGTTCTGGTCCAGCTTAACCTTAGCATACAGCAAAGAAGAGATGGGAAAGAGACAAAGGAGGGGTCCACTTTCTTGCAGAGAAATGGAGAGACAGGAAGGGGGTCCAAGGCAGTCAAGCGCCCCTCAGAGCAAGGAGGACAAGTGCTCTGGGCATAGGGTGGGGGGTCTGGGGGACATATCTGGGTGGGAGCCGAGTGGGCGTGCAAATAAACAGCAGAGCCCATCACTCCCTCGAAGTCCCTGCAGATCCTGCCCACAGCTGCTGACCCCTCACACGCTCTAAGCTCCAGCCACCGCCTTCTGCCCAGTCCCCCGCCCCTACCGTGCACTTCCTACCCCAGGCCTTTGCTCCCACTGCTCCCAGGCTGGGGCTGATTCTCTCTCCTCCATCCTCCATCCTCAACCAATACGGATGGGGGCCTGTGTATGTCCTTGAGTGTGCTGGTCACCTTCCGTGGCTCTCATTCTTTTAGTCCTTATCATGACTCTGAGAGTTGAGTATTGTTATCCCTAATTTACAGACCAGGAAATTGAGCCTCAGAAAAATTAGGTTTTTAAATGTTAGGATCACAAAAGATTAAGTGGAGAAGTGAGATGAGACCCCAGGTCTTTAAGCTTGAAATTCAATGTTCTTTTGAATATACACTTCACCATCCTGCTTTTCATGTGAAAAATATGCCAAACCTTAGGATCTCATGTATATGCATGAGATGGCGGCTCCATCTCTCTTTTCTCCCCACCCCCCTCCTTTCTCTCTCTCTCTCTCTCTCTCTCTCTACCACCCCTTCTCCTACCTTGTGAGGACACAGCAAGAAGGGGAGAAGGCAGTCATCTGGAAACGAGGAAGACAGCCCTCACCAGAAACTGACACTGTTGGACCTCGATCTTGGACTTGCAGCCTCTAGAATTGCAAGAAAATAAATTTAAGCTGTGGACTCTGTTATTTAAGCTCTCTAGTGTGTGGTATGTTGTTATGGCAGCCTGAGCGGATAAGACTTCCTTTCAACAACAGAGGAGAGTGGGCCTGCAGCAGGGGTCGGGGTCGGGGTCAGGGTCAGGGTCAGGGTACCGGGGAAAATCCCCGGGGCCCCTCGTCAAGGAGGCAGACTCCAAGATCCACCCCTCTGGATTCCAAGTGGGCATGTCTGAGGATGAGCCTCAAGTCCTCATGATTTTGAGAGGCGATCTCTGACCACCCTCTGAGTACTGCTGGCCCAGAGGGTCCTCATGGTCCCTTCTGCACCTCACCCTCAATGTCAGTGAAGCCCAATGATAAGCCACATCACTTGTCCCAGCAAATTCTTCATTTTCAGACATCAGTTCATTCTAAGTCATCCTCTTTTGGCCTTGTTTAATATTAGAACATGGGAATGCAGAGATCAGTGGCTGAAAATAAGCTGAACATTTTTAAAAGAGAAAATGAATCTCTGCACACTTCCGGAAAGTGGAAAAAAGTGCTCTGAGTTACTGAAAAGTTGGCAAAGTGCCTCATTGGAGGGACTAAAAATTACCAATACTAGAAAAGAGACTGAAAGTATCTCTTGTAATAGCTACCTATTGCTGCCTAATAGATTGTCCCCAACTTAGCAACTTTAAACAACAATTTCTGAGCATCAGGATCCAGGAGTGGCTTAGCTGGCTGGTTCTGGCTCAGGGTCTCTCGTGGGATTTGGATCAAGCTGTCAGCCAGGGCTGCAGCCACCCGAAGCTTTGCCTGGCCTGGAGGACCCACTTCCAAGTGCACGCAAGGGGATGCTGGCAGCCTGGAGGGAGGCCTCCATTCCTGGCCAGGTGGGCCTCTCCAGACTCACATGGCAGCTTGCTTCCCGGAGTGAGAGATCAGAGAAAAAAGCCCAAGATGGGCCTCAATCTTTCATCATCTAATCTTGGATAGGACATACCACTGAGAGGTGACAGCCTGCTGGCAGCCCTCACAGCCCTCACTCGCTCTGGGCGCCTCCTCGGCCTTGGCGCCCACTCTGGCCGCCCTTGAGGAGCCCTTCAGCCCGCCGCTGCACCGTGGGAGCCCCCTTCTGGGCTGGCCAAGGCCAGAGCCGGCTCCCTCAGCTTGCAGGGAGGTGTGGAGGAAGAGGCGCGGGTGAGAACCGGGGCTGCGTGCTGCGCGCTTGCGGGCCAGCGGGAGTTCCGGGTGGGCGTGGGCTCGGCGGGCCCCGCACTCGGAGGCCCCGTGGCCCGCAAGCCCCGGGCAGTGAGGGGCTTAGCACCTGGGCCAGCAGCTGCGCTCGACTTCTCGCCTGGCCTTAGCTGCCTCCCCTCGGGGCAGGGCTGTGGACCTGCAGCCCACCATGCGTGAGCCTCCTCCACCCCTCCATGGGCTCCTGCGCAGCCGGAGCCTCCCTGACGAGCAACGCCCCCTGCTCCACAGCGCCCAGTCCCATCGACCACCCAAGGGCTGAGGAGTGCGGGCGCACGGCTGGGACTGGCAGGCAGCTCCACCTGCGGCACCAGTATGAGTGGGATCCACTGGGTGAAGCCAACTGGGCTCCTGAGTCTGGTGGGGACTTGGAGAACATTTATGTCTAGCTAAGGGATTGTAAATACACCAATCGGCACTCTGTATCTAGCTCAAGGTTTGTAAACACACCAATCAGCACCCTGTGTCTAGCTCAGGGTTTGTGAATGCACCAATTGACACTCTGTATCTAGCTACTCTGGTGGGGACTTGGAGAACCTTCGTGTGGACACTCTGTATCTAGCTAATCTAGTGGGGAGGTGGAGAACTTTTGTGTCTAGCTCAGAGATTGTAAAGGCACCAATCAGCACCCTGTCAAAACGGACCAAGCAGCTTTCTGTAAAATGGACCAATCGGCTCTCTGTAAAATGGACCAATCAGCAGGATGTGGGTGGGGCCAGATAAGAGAATAAAACCAGGCTGCCCGGGCCCACAGTGGCAACTGGCTCGGGTCTTCTTCCATGGTGTGGGTTCCTTGTTCTTTTGCTTTTTGCAATACGTCTTGCTGTTACTCACTCTGGGTCCACACTGCCTTTATGAGCTGTAACACTCACCGCAAAAGTCTGTAGCTTCACTCCTGAAGCCAGTGAGACCACGAACCCAGCAGGAGGAATGAACAACTCCAGAGGCGCTGCCTTAAAAGCTGTAACACTCACTGCGAAGGTCTGCAGCTTCACTCTTGATCCAGCGAGACCACGAACCCACCAAAAGGAAGAAACTCCGAACACATCCGAATGTCAGAAGGAACAAACTCCGGACACGCCACTTTTAAAAACTAACACTCACCGTGAGGGTCCACGGCTTCATTCTTGAAGTCAGTGAGCAAAGAACCCACCAATTCCGGGCACACCACCGCTACATCTACCATATGCTGTTGGTCACACAGACCATCCCTGATACAGTGTGGGAGGGAACCCCACAATGCAGGCAGCTGGGAATACCAGGAGGCAGGGTTCACTGGGAACCATTTGGAGGCTGGCTACAACATTCTTTAAAAAAAAATTTTACTTAGACCAAACTGATATCAACCAACGTGTTTTTGGCCCAATGGCCTTCAGTTAGATCACAGATGGTTATGTGGAACCTGAATGGAGACATTCAGGTCCAACAGTGTCAGTTTCTGGTGAGGGCTGTCTTCCTCGTTTTCAGATGACTGCCTTCTCCCTTTCTTGCTGTGTCCTCACAAAGTAGAAGAAGAGATGGGAGAGAGAGAAGGAAGGGGGGTGGGGAGAAAAGGGAGGGGGAAATTTGACACAGAAGAAGGAGGTGACAATGTAACACTAGCAAGACGAGAGGGGAAGGAGCTATGAAATAAGGAATCCAAGAAAAACAGCTTTAGAAATTGAGAAAGGCAAGGAAATGTCTTCTCTCCTGGAGCCTCAGAAAGGAGCAGGGCCCTGCTGATGCCTTGAATTTGGCCCAGTGAAACTGATTTCACACTTCTGACTTCTAGAACTGCAAGAGATTGGTTGTGTGTGGGGGGTGGGGGGGAGGGGTTGGTTTTTGGTTTTTGTTTTTGAGTCAAGAGTATCACTCTGTTGCCTAGGCTGGAGTGCAGTGGCTCGATCTTGGCTCACTGCAACCTCTGCCTCCCGGGTTCAGGCAATTCTCCTGACTCAGCCTCCTGAGTAGCTGGGACTACAGGCGTGCACCACCACGCCTGGCTAATTTTTGTATTTTTAGTAGAGATGAGGTTTCCCCATGTTGGCCTGGCTGGTCTCAAACTTCTGGCCCCAAGTGATCCACCTGCCTCCACCTCCCAAAGTGCTGGGATTGCAGGTGTGAGCCACTGCACCTTTCCTTGGACGTGTGTGTTTTGAACTGGAAATTTGTAGCAATTGTTACAGCAACAATAGCAAAGGAATACCCTGCATCATATCCATTTGGTACCATCAGGAGAGTTTAGAGCAGGAAAGAAAGCACACCTGTGGTCCCAGAGCTGCATGTACTAGAGGTTTCAGGCTCACAGAAGATGATGTTAAGGGGAGCAGATACTTTTTGCAGGGTAATGAGTTGCACTGATTTCCAGCATGCTCAGGTGAGGCCTAGTGGAGTCAGACCTCCCGGGGTAGAATCCACCACTCACTGGCCATGTAACCTTGAGCAAATTCTGCAACCCCATCGTCTCAACGCTGGCTACATATTAGAATCACCTGGAGCACCTCAAATTATACCCATGGCTAAGGCCTACCCTGAGAATTCAAGTTGGCCTCAGGAGAGGGGCTTAGGCACCAGTACTTTTTATTTTAATCTTGTTTTTAATGGACCTTCAAGAATCAGACCAGAATCAGTACTTATTAATATAAGGCCCCAGATGATTCTAATATGTAGCCAGCACCAAGCACCACCCCTATCTCTCTAAATCTGTTTCCTCCTCTAAAATAGAAATCAGTGTTAGGTTACCCCACGTGGGTGTGATGAGCCTCAAGTAAGGTAATCCCTGTAAAGTGAGTAGGACATAGTAAACCACCAATTCATTACTGTGACTCACGACTGACTCCCTGTGGATGTGCAGTGGTCCTTTTCCCTCTTGGGTCTCAGTATCCCCACCTGTACCTGGATCATCTTTCAGTGCCTCCTGCTATATCCCCTCTTATGAATAGAAAGATTCAGTAGATCACTTACTCAGTGACCTTTTCAGGTGCACTAAAACCAAGCATTTCACACCTTAGGGAGACACAAGGCAGGATCTAATCAGAACTCTGCATCCCTCGGGCTTGGTTTAGGGATTCTAGTGCCACATTCAAAGCACAGAACAGGCGCCTGGGCCAATGTCACCTTGGTAAGTGTCTGCCTCCCAGCGTGCCTTAAGGTTGCAGGAAATTGCCTATTTACACGTATTCTGCTCTGACAGGCACACCAGAATTTTAAAATCCTCCTTCAGGTTTCTCACAGATAAGATGGGGAACTTTGTTTACTATGGATTCCAGGGCTTCCTGAAGAGGAGGCCTTTGAGTTTTCGAAAATAATTGCTTTTCCTCTCCTGTGCTCTCCAGGGGTGGTCTTTGGCCGGAGGAAGAAATGGCTTTGTTGCTCAGGAGAGCTTTGGGAATGGAACTCAGGGGCTTCCAAAGAGCAGCAATCAGGAAAACAAGCAGGGAGGATCCAGGTTTTGCAAGGCCTGAAGCCTGCACACTAGGGAGCCCCATGCTCTGTGAAGGAGAGAACAGTGATAAGAAGAAGATAATGATTCAGCAGCTTTGCAAACATTGTTTGGTGAATAAACAGCCCCGTTCAGTGCACCGGTTTCTTCCTCCCATCATGGGACAGGTGGAATGTGATCTGAGATGCCAGCCTTGGTCAGCTGGAGGGTTGTTCAGCTGCCTCGTGACTCCTCCTCGGTAAGAGTGAAAGAGCCTTTCATTCCCTAAATAAACATGTCTATTAGAGGCATTGATCTGTCCCCAGCAGGCAGTAATTGCACCTCAAATGCCACAGATGCACAGCCTGGGGTTCTACTCCACCCCGCCCTGCCCTGCCCTGCCAGTCTCCCTGCCTGGCCTGGGACGGACCCTGACCCTCCTTGGGGTTCAGGCTCTTCTTCTGTACAGAGTCACAAGGCTGTTAATTCATATTCTTCCCATCACAGGGATGAACCCCTCTGGCTCAGTCATAAATGATAATATAAGACTCGTTTTCCATGGAAAAGCCCTAGTACAGCCATACGGGTACTTTAATACAAAATGCTCACCTACCAGTTTGTAAGCAGCCCCTCTCTGAGCCCCTAGGTGCCACCTCCACTCTGTCCTCACGGCCCTTGGCCTGGGACCCCCTGAACTTCCGCATGACTCACCATGGCCAACCAGATCACAAGGGTTAGGGTTAGGGTGAGCACAGAATTACAGCCAGGCTTTGTGCCCATGCTCCATTCCTCAGTATATCAAATCTCACCCCTGGGCCTGGGCTGGGGCCCCTGCACAGGCTCCAGCCCTTCTTAGCCTAGAGAGAGGCTTCTTGAGGAGATTCTCCCATCCTTTAACAGCAGAATCCAGCCTGCCTGGATTCACTGAACAGGAGTGCAGCTGGGAGTGGAGCCATTTCTGAGCCGGTGAGCCCTGATCTGTCTGCTTCTACCTTCATTTCTAACAGGTATTTCTGGCCCAAGAAGTTGGGCCTGGGAGGACAGACCCAGCCCAACCATCCTCCTGTGAAGGACCCTTCGTGACGGGGTGGAGGCCACACTCTCTGGCTCCTGCTCCTGATCACTTTCCTTCCCGTTCCTCATGAACATGTCCAGGCATCAGCCCAGGGGCAGATCTAGGAAAGCCTGGAGCCACCGGGCCCCTTGGAGCTTCCTCAGGGGCCACCAGAGGGTGGGGGCCCGGTAAGCAGCTCCCTTGCACCTGGCTTAGTCTGTAATCTAGTGCAATCCCTTCACCGTGAGGATAATTGGGCCCAGAGGGCTCATGGTGAGTCAGACAGCCTGGGGTCCAGTCCCCAGCTGGGGGCTTTGCCCACAGCACCTTGTGCCCTCTCTCCTTTGTGGGTCTATCCTCGTCCTCACACACGTTGTCTCTCTGTTCCAGGGAAGGAGTATTCCATGGCCCATAATCCGTGTGAACAGATAGACAACGGGAAGCATCTTTGTTATTCCAACACTGGGGCAATTTCTTTCACCAACCCGTAGCAGAGGCCTTAATGAGGCTTCAGTCTAGCTGAAAAGGTTGTCCAAACCCCACACGTAGCACCAGGTGAGCCATAACTAAGACTGGACTATATGTGGGCTCTCACTTTGGACCCTATCCAGACCTTCCCACTCACTCCCTGTGGGATCTACAGAAGTCTTTCCCTTCTCTGGACCTTAGTCTCCTCATCTATACAATGGTGATGTTGGACCAGAAATTCTAAGGACCCCCTTTCTCCTGATCTGTTCCTGATTCTATAAGGCCAGGGGTGGGAACAACCATCCTGGAATCCTCTCAGGAAAAAGCTGCTCAGGCAGGGTGCAGTGGCTCACGCACTTTGGGAGGCTGAGGCGGGCAGATCATTTGAGGTCAGGAGTTTGAAACCAGCCTGGCCAACATGGCGAAACCCCGTCTCTACTAAAAATACAAAAATTAGCTGGGCATGGTGGCATGCATGTGTAATCCCAGCTACTTGGGAGGCTGAGGCACGAGAACACTTGAACCCAGGAGGCGGAGGCCACAGTGAACCGAGATGGTGCCACTTCACTCCAGCCTGGGTGACAGAGCAACACTCTGTCTCAAAAATAAAAAAGAAAGGGCTGCTCTTCCTTGATGACTCACTGAGGTACACCTATGGTGGGACCTTTAGAATCAGATTTGGAGAGGGGAGACAGTGCAAAGTCAGTCACCTCCACTAGCTTGCCTAGTGCTTTTAAGAGTGTGGCATTCCAATCCATCACATTCCTGGAAAATAGTCAACCCTCTGCAAAAATAATTTGTGCATTTTACCTTCAGCTACTGCACGTTGGTTCTTCTCTCCAAACCATAAATGTCAAGCACTGTGGAAGGTTTTCTTTTTATTACTTTTTATTTTTGAGGGGGTAAATACCTTGCAACAGGACCACTTTGGTGAGTTCTGATGCCAGTCACAGCTTAGAAAGTGTCAAGGTAGTCATGCTGGATAGAATCTAGACACAACACATTTGCAGGCGAAGTCACTTTCTGGAAATAACCATGACGGAGTCAAAGACTCCTCAGAAACCACTTAGGCCAGTGCTTCCCAAATATGGTTATATATCAGAAGCATATGAGAAACTTGGCCAGGTGCAGTGGCTCATGCCTGTAATTCCAGCACTTTGGGAGGCTGAGCGGGGTGAATCACTTGAGGTCAGGAATTTGAGACCAGCCTGGTCAACATGGTGAAACCCCGTCTCTACTAAAAATACAAAAATTAGCCGGGCGTGGTGGCATGCGCCTGTAGTCCCAGCTACTCAGGAGGCTGAGGCAGGAGAATTGCTTGAATTGGGGAGGCAGGGGTTGCTCTTCCTTGACGACTCACTGAGGCACACCTATGGGGGGACCTTTAGAATCAGATTATCAGATTTGGAGAGGGGAGACAGTGCAAAGTCAGTCACCTCCACTAGCTTGCCTAGTGCTTTTATGAGTGTGGAATTCCAAGCCAAGCTTTGCAATTGCAGATGCACCACTTACCAGTGAGTAATTTTCTCTTTCTGAACCTCAGTGTCCTTATCTGTCAACCAGAGCCAGTAATCTTTTCCTCATAGCAGAGTTGGAGGGGTCTGTGACAGAACCTCCTAGTTAGCCCCCAGTGTCTCTCTTCCCACCAAGCCACAGAAATGAAAGCCCCAATATTCTGACCACCCTAAAGACTCTATTTCCCAGCATGCCTTGCAGATAGTTGTACCATGTAGGTAAGTTCTGGCCAATGGGATATAAATGGAGTTGTTTGGGGGTTAGCTTTGGGGAGCCTTCCTCTAAAGCCAGAGGCATGCACACTTTGCCCTTTTGTCTTCTTCATTCCCACCCGCCTTCTGATCCCTAGAATGTAGATGTGGTGGCTGCCATTTGGGATCATGAAGACAGTTTCCCCTGCTAGGGGTGACCAGTGGGAATTGGAAGGGGTCCACCTCCTTGAGCATCATTGAGCCACCTCCCTCACCTGCTTCCCTCTGGGCTTCCTTTACTTTTTTAGAGAAATCAACTCCCATCTTATGTAAGCCATTTTTATACGAGTCTCTGTTACTCAGAGCTGAACTTACTCCTCACTCACTGCCATAGGATCTGAGGAAATCAAGTGGTTCTCATCTAACCAAGTCACCCTTATGCCTTAAATCCCTCTGATACTGACAGGAGGCAGCCAAATGCCTAGGCAGATAGGAGTGGTCCCCAGTGAAATCCCACCTCCAAGCCAAAGACAGTTCAAAGCCTAAAAGCCAAGCTACAAGTTAGATCCTTGGACCAGACTGAGAACCTGTCTTCCCATTTGGCACACCTTCCTCTGACTGATCACACCCTTCACCTATTTTACACAAGCCTACCCTTTTCTAATTGGTTTTCTACACTCTCATGCCCTCCTTTGGGTGGTGTCTTCGCTTTAACCTTTTTTGCATGCTCACAAACCAATTAACACGCATTCCCCATTCTGAGTCCATAAAAAGCCCCAGACCCAGCCACACTGAGGAGAGAAACCACCCAGCTGCAGGGCTGGGGGACCAATTCCCACATCCCCTCTCTGCTGACAGCTGTTCTATTGTTCAATAAAATTCTTCTCTGCCCATCCTCACCCTTCTACTGTCAGCATGTCCTCATTCTTCTTGGATGTGAGACAAGAGCTCAAGAACTGCTGAACACAGGTACAAGCTATAACACAGGTGGGACAAGTGGGTAGGGTGTCTCTAACGGCAGGCCTGGGACCCAGAGAGGCCCAGGCAAGGGGGACATCGCTGACCAGAGGTCCCAGCTGGCAAAGTGACTGAGAAGCATCCTGTGTCACTTCTGTGCCTCCTCAGGATACATCCAAACTCCTTAGCAAGGCACTTCAGGCCTTTCATGATCTTGGCATGATCTATGGCTCCAGACTTGGCTCTCAATGGCCCCCACTTATCCCATCACAGCCCAGGCACCAGCCAGGAGGAGGTTCTTACTGCACCCAAAGCCACAGGGCTCCCTCTCATTTCTGACCTTTGGCACATGCAGCTCTGTCTTCCAGAAATGCTGTTTCTCCCCTTGATTCAGCTTTCAAGAATCAGGTCAAGCATCAGCTCCTCCAAGAAGCCTCCCCTGACCTTCCCAGGCTTTGTGTAGTTGTTTTGTCCCATTTCCTGTTTCTCTGCTCTCTTGGCACCACTCTCTGGGTTCTCTTTCTCACACTGTGTGAGGGAAACATGCCAGTCTCCATGTCTGTCTGCCTCCCCAGTCTGTGAGTTGCCAGAGGACAGGTATGATGTCTTATTTGTCTCCACACGGCAGGGCCTGGCATAGGTGGGTCAGCAGTAACAGGAGCTGAGTGAAAGAAGGAATGATGAGTGGCAGATGCTTGCTGATGTGGACACTGCTGGGCCTGACAAGGGACTGTGCTGGGGAAACTGTCTTTGAACCAGAAAGAACTAGCTAGAGACAGAGAGGCAAAGTGGAAAGCAAGGGTAATCAGCGCTCACTGCAGCTCCCATACTCTGGTCACCTAGGCATCAGCCCTGTGGATCCAAAAAGCCTTTGCGCCCTCCTTGGCAGATCTGCCCTGCTGTCATGGATGGTAGGGCAGCATTTCAGGCTCGCTCCATCAGCAAGTGTATGAAGATACACTGGGTCCCTGCCAATACTTTGTACTTCAACCATTGCCTTATAGTGGCCCATAACCAGCCATAACAGGATGGGAAAGTCAATTGACTGGGTTTAACAAATAGCATGCATTTAGGCTCCAACATTTGTGGCCCAAGGACTCTGCTGCCAATGAACAAATGAACACTATGTAACAGCTTTACTACAACTTTCTGGGGCTTCAGTCTCCTAGAGGCCCTTGTGTCCTTCTCCTCCTATACCCCTCTTTTTACAGTGGCGATGACTGAGGCCCAGAGGGAGGTAGGTGGTGGCTCAAGGTCACACAGAAAGGCTGGAACCAGCACCCAGGCTCTGATAGCCTGCCAGTGCCCTTTGCACCAACTCTACTAGGTTTGGTGAGGGCTATTCAATAATTAACCGTGGATTCTGAGAAAGACATGGACCCCTCGGGCCCAATCATGAGGTCATAAAAGAACAGATTCATTACACAGTGTTTGAGCCCAGAGGACACTTGCTATTGACTTGGTAACATAATCTTTTTTTTTTTTTTAACTTTTTATTACCAGAAATTTTAAATATACACAAAAATAGACATTATAATGAACCCCTTTGTGCCAGCAGCTGCCAGCGTAAGTAATTATGAACACCTGCTGTTCTTGGTAACATAACTTGGAATCTTATTTCCTCCTTGGAAACTGGAGGAGACACACACTATAAAACACTATAACCAGAATGATCATTTCAAATTGCAAACTGGATTGTGTCAACCGCCCTTCCTTCTCCCTCAAGACCCTTTAATAGAATCCTCTGGTCCTGGGATGAAGATGGAGCAGAGCTCCTACCCCAGACCTGGACAGCTGTCTCTAGACTTCTTTTAAGTGAGAGAAAAGTACACTTCTCTTGTTTAAGCCACTTTTATTTTGGGTTTTCTCTGATGTCAGTAGTTCTCAAAACTGGCTACACAATGGAATCAATGGAAGAGCTTAAACACAAAACAAAACAACAACAAAACCAGATAACCCAGAACAACACCCAGGGACTCCTAGCAATGTGGAGTGTTGCTCAGGTGTTTCCAAAGACTCTCCCAGGTGGTGCTGATCCACAGGCATAGTTGAGAACCACTGTTTCATCATATGCATCCAATCTAACTCTAACTGGTACAGGCTCGGCTGAAAGGTCATCTTCTCCCAAGAAGTCTGGGGAGGAACTCAGGGCTGCCTCTTCTGTTTCCACAGAGCTTGGTGCTAATCTTTATTAAGTGTATCAGGCTGGGCATAGTGACTGATGCCTGTAATCCCAACACTTTGGGAGGCTGAGTCGGGAGGATTCATTGAGCCCAGGAGTTTGAGACCAGCCTGGGTAATATGGGTGAGACCCTATCTCTAAGAAAAATTTTAAAATTAGCCGAGTGTGGTGGAGGTCAGAAACTCAAAGTGTCTCCTTGGACTAAAATCAAGGTGTTGGCAGGGACGAGTTTCTTCTAGAGACACTGGGGGAGAAGCCTGTCCCTTGCCTTTTCCAACTGCTTGCATTTGTTGTCTTGTGACAGCATCACCTGACCTCTGCTTCCATCCCCACATCTCTTTCTCTGACTCCTGTTTCCCTTCGATAAGGACCCTTGTGATTACATTAGGCCCTGGCTATACAATCTAGAATAATCTCCCACCTCCAGATCATTAACTACAATATCCTCTTTTGCCATGTAAGGTAATGTCTTCATAGGTACCAGGTGTTAGGACATTGACGTCTTTAGGGGCCATTATTCTGCCTACCACAATCAGTGTACATAAGGTGAAGCAATAGGGAGTGGTGAGGCCTGTGGCAAACTGGAAAATGAAAGCCCTGCCTAAAGGGGGCAGCTACTACGTGCATCTCTAGTTGAGCCACTGTTCCATATCCACGTGCAGGCCTGATAGTACTAAGTCTTCCAATGTTTCAAGAACAAATAGAAAAGTACATTTTAATGTCAAATATCTCAATGTTTAAGCATTAGAAAGCATAAAACGGGGAAAAAAAACCCCACAACTCTGCTGGGGCCAAATAGAACATGTATGCTGGCTTGAGACTTGGGCTACCAGTTTGTGGTGTCTAGTCTGGAGCTTCTTCCTCACTAGGACAGTTAAGGCAGCATTACTTTATTTTGTGCTGCTTGTCACCTTGTCAGTGGGAGAAGAGACAGGCAGGTGTGAAGCCCAGGCTCTCTCTCAGGCCCCAGGGTGGTGTTGGTATTTCCCTTCCATTTACCACCCACGTTCCTCCCTTGACCTCTGTCCAAACTCCTCCTCATCTCTCCAAAAGAAGGAGCTCCCAAGGTTGCACGTGGCTCTGCCTTCAATTACTGTTTATTTCATTTGCATGTGGCTTTTCTCCTTGACCTTAACATGAGGAGGGGAGCCACAGCCAGGGCAGCGTAGTAAAAGCTGAGCCTTTTGCTCTGCTAGGGTGAACTCTAACTGTGCTTTACAGGTGCTATTGCCACACGTAAGCACTGCAACAGTCTTCTCTCCCTGCCCCACCGGACCCCAACCTCCTCCTCCTCTCAGTTGGGTCTTCCTTAGTCTCAATGATGCTGTCAGTTAAGGTGTGGTCAAGAAAATGGAAGCCACTCTAGGTGTTTTGAGTAGGAAGAGATTAATATTAACACAAGTGTTGGGAGGCTGGGAAGTGAAGGGCACTAAGCTATTGTCAAGAAATCTGGAAGTGCTAGGATTATAGGGAGGCTACTACCAGTGTTCTCTGCAGTCCACAGTCATGAACGGAGCACTCCTTAGGGGGGCCTTCAAAGCCTTGGGTAGAAATCCACCTCTGCAGATGCCCACGCACCAGCTGCATGTTTTGCTTCCAGGCCAGTGTTATTTGTGTGATTGTGCAAGAGCTTGGCTTCTAGTCTGCACTTGGATACTAATCCCCTAATCCCTTCCAAAGGGACCTTGGGCAAGTCCCTTTTCCTTTTTGGGTCTCAGTTTCTTCAACCATAAAAATGAGGTGAAGGGGAAGGAAGACAGAGAGGGAGGAGAACAGAGTTTGTGGCAAATACTCAGGGGTTAGTTATGTTCAACAACATTCAGACTTGCTCATGTTCACAGAGAGTAAGCTTCACTTAGAGGATCACTTAGGAAAAAAGAAAAAAGTATATATTGGTTTGATTTTTAAATGTATCTTTATTTTTAAATTTCCATTTCCTGCAAATGCCTCAGTGTCTTGACCTAGTCTTGCCTCTTCCGTTCAAATACAGAAAATGATTATGCTCAGTGTAGAAGAAACACTCAGTGCAGCTTTCAGTCCTTTTGTTTGGAATCTAGCTGATCTGTACGTCATTCTCAGAGCTGGATTCTTCTTCAGTAACTTCTTAGACATATAAGGCTCTACAACGCTGAAGGATAGAAATTGCTTCTCTTCTCCCACCAGCCCAGTGTAAACACATCCCTGGACGACACTGACCTGACTGTGGCTTGTGTTATCTCACCCTTTCCCCTTCAATCCACACAGGCTCCAGGTCCAATATCCTTACAAAGGGCCTGGATCTTTTTTTGTTAATTAAAAAGCTGAATCCATCACATTCCTGGAAAATAGTCAACCCTCTGCAAAAATAATTTGTGCATTTTACCTTCAGCTACTGCACATTCATTCTTCTCTCCAAACCATAAATGTCAAGCACTGTGGAAGTTTTTTTTTTTTTTTTTTGAGGAGGGGTAAATACCTTGCAACAGGACCACTTTGGTGAGTTCTGATGCCAGTCACAGCTTAGAAAGTGTCAAAGGTGGGCATGCTGGATAGAATCTAGACATAACACATTTGCAGGCAAAGTCACTTTCTGGAAATAACCATGACGGAGTCAAAGACTCCTCAGAAACCACTTAGGCCAGTGCTTCCCAAATATGGTTATATATCAGAAGCATATGAGAAACTTGGCCAGGCGCAGTGGCTCATGCCTGTAATCCCCGCACTTTGGGAGGCTGAGCAGGGCGGATCACTTGAGGTCAGGAGTTTGAGACCAGCCTGGTCAACATAGTGAAACCCCGTCTCTACTAAAAATACAAAAATTAGCTGGCATGGTGGCACGCTCCTGTAGTCCAAGCTACTCAGGAGTCTGAGGCAGGAGACTCACCTGAATTGGGGAGGCGGAGGCGGCAGTGAGCCGAGATGGCACTGTTGTACTCCAGCCTGGGTGACAGAGTAAGACTCCATCTCAAAACAAAACAAAACAAAACAAAACAAAAAAGGAAGCATATGAGAAACTTAACAAAAACTTCTGGGCTCCAACCTACATCTAATAATTTAGACTCTCTGAAGGCAAGGTCCAGGAGATTGTTAAAAAACAAAAACAAAAACACAAACAAACAAAAAAAACTAAGCTCCCCACTCAATTCTGATGTATAGCTAAGTTTGGGAGCCCCTTGTCTAGTTCTTATCTGAACTAGGATTTTGCCACATGGTTATCTGTCCTTCCCTGTACTCCTCCAGTGATGGGAGGCCCACTGCCTTTCAAGGGAGCCCCTCCCAGCCTTAGCCAGTTCTGCTTTTTCTGGGAGTTATTCCTCTGTATTCTTCACTGGTCTGGCTCTGCCTTCTAGGACCCCACAGATCCTATCTGGTTTTGCCCTTCAGAGATTTGGACGGCACAGCCTTGTCTTTCAAGTTCTAAAGGGTGAACATCCCAGTTCCTTCAGCTGCTCCTCAAGGGGCACAGCCTCCAACCTTGCCGCATGGGGGTCACTTCCTGTCTGCAGCTGGCCTCTCAGACCTGCCACAGTTTCCAATGCACTCTAACACGAGGACTGATACTCATTTTGCCATAAACTCACTCCCTCTATCAATGAGGCCTCTTAAGGATTGGTCAGTTAATCATTAAGTCAATCAGTCCTGGAGTGCTATGCCAAGTGCCCAAGGGGAGCTAGGCTGTCCACGTGCTGTGGGGGAGGCAGGAGGGCCTTGGCAAGGGGCTCATGCCGTTGCTGGAGAAACCCGAGGAAAGCATGGGCATCAAGGTGATAAGATGCCAATCATAGTGCCTTCATGGATGGCTAACTTTTGCAGCAAGGGCTGTGAACATGCTAAGGATGATATGGTAGCAAAAGATTCCATAGAGATGTAGCTTAAGGAAAGAACTAAGTGAATTAGGTCCAAGCAGTCGCATGTGAGCACCCTAGATCAGTGGAGAGGCAGGGATTTAATACAAGGAACTGGGTGCTTACAGACCTGCTGCAAGTGCCGGAGGCAGAAGCAAGCCTTAGCCAGACCAGGACCAACTCTCAGGACAATATGGACGTGGCCCACCAGCCTCGTGCCTGTCTGAGGCTACTTCAGACACCCTCCTGCAGCCTCCATTCAAAGAGCAGGAAGCCAGGTCAAGGAGCGGCTACAGCCACAGCGGCCGGTCCACAGCCAGAAAGCTGGAGAAGGGACAAGGAATGCTGCCGCAGAACATCTCCCATTTCTGCTATCCTGCTAGTGCCACCCTACAGGGGCAGGACAATACCCTCCAATGCGTGCCCGCCTTCCACATCCGGCAGAGTACTACTAATTGGCAGCACCTAGTCCACATCCAGAACTCTAACTGCAAATGAGGCTGGGAAACATGGCGGTTAGCTTTGGGACCTCCCTAGCCAGAAGGAAGGTGCAGCGAGGGTGGAGCGAGTGAGATGCATGTTCAGTGGTCCATCTTGGCAACCTTTATAGCAACAAAATGGAGACAATTAAATGTCCAACAGTTTACCCCTACAACAGAATTCTATGCCACCTTGGAGAGGATGATGTCATCTGTAATTAGTGATAGGAGAAAACTTCAAAATACAGCGCTAAGTTTTTAAATTTTTTTTAAAGCAGCACAACAGAGGTTACTATATGATTTTATTTTTATTAAAATAATTTTGAAAGATGCAGAGGAAACAATACTAGCAGGACGAACACCGTAATAATGGCTACCGTAGGTGAAGAGATTACAGGTGATATTTTTCTTCTTTTTTCATCCTTTCCTGTGTTTTCCAAGCTTTCTACACTGTGCATACATTCTTTTTGTCCTTAGGACAAAAATGTACTTTGAAAAATGCCCAAATATAAAATCTTCTTGAAGGAACTGAAGAAAGGAGCAGTGAAAGTGGAGGACAGAAATTAGTGAATCCTGGACAAAAAAAGTGAGGGAGAGGCGAGGCAGAGAAGGGGTTAAGGGGAGTCTCAAGGATGGCAGTCGATTAAGCAGCGTCTTGCAGCGGGGAGAAATGCAAAGTGTAGTTGGGGTTCGGTCTCCGAAAACTTTGCTGTGTGACCTGGGGAAGCCCCTGCCCCTCTCTGGGTATCTCTGTTTCCGCTCCCAAACCAGTGCCTTAGGAGCCTAGATCTGAGCAACGTGGACACTGGGCTTGCGGAGACCCGAGGGAGGGAGCGCTGAAGCGGTGCGGGCTGCCGGGGGTAGAGGGGCGGGGACCGGGAAAGACCGGGCGGGGCGAGGGAGGAGCGGCCTTGGCCGGCGACAGGACGTAGGCAGCGCCCCAGGCGCAGGCGGAGCCTCATTGGCCGCTGAGCCCCGGGCTGCGCGGAGGCGGGACCTGCGGCCAGCCCTGGGCGGCCATGTGGACAGAGCTGGGAGGGCCGGAACCAGAACCCAAGCGTGATCCTGAACCGGAGCCCGAGCCTGCTGCAGGTAACTAACGCTGGTCTCCCCTCGGCTCCCTCGGGAAGCCGCAGCTCCTGGCTCCGCGTGGGGGCTTTCCTCTCTGGGCCGCGGCGTCCGCATCTGGGGGCTGGCCTTTCCGCCGTTGCACTGTAGGACTCTCTCCACGTCCCCTAATCCCATCCCCCGCCTCTGGGTGACGCTACAGGAGCCCCGAGGACACAGACGCCCCCAGACCTTACCACGTTAGCTCGACCTCAACACTCCTGCCCACTCGGCCCACTTCAACAGAGGGCCCCTGACCATAGCCCAGAGGCTTGGACAAGCCCAAAGGTTGCGCCCTTTCCCCCGCAGAAGGGGTGAGGTGGGCGCCGCTGCAGTTCCCGCGGATAGAGAAGGTCCGGTCCTTCCCGCTGTGGGTGAACTGTAAAAAATTGCCTGTATTCAGGAGGATATGCAAAGCTAGGTTTGTGGAAGTCTGGGGTGAGGCTCCTATACTTTCTTGCTGTGTGTCCTCGGTGAGTCCCTGAACCTCTCTGATGCCCAGCCTTCTTCCAGAATGGGGGTCATCATCAACCCTGACCACCCAGGGACTGCAGAGAGGCTTGGCAAATTTCCCGTGAGAAGACAGCCTGCAAACTGTAAAGCATGATGCTCTGTGAGCTGTGATCTTCCTATCAGCAAGTGGAGGCCCCAGCAAGAACCCCATATAGGCCCCAAGAGTAGGAACGGCCTTGGTGTGGCTGCAAAGGTTTGCCAGCCTTGGCCTATGACCACCTCTCCTGACTGCTTCACCCCTCCAATCCTTACCCCATGGGTTGGTGACTCCCCTTTCCCCTACCTCCTTTTGGTCTCCTCACCCTCAGAGCCAGGCCTGTTGGTGGCAAGGGGGCTGTGTCCCAGCATATGGCAAAGTCCTGAGCTAAATGGAACCCTGGGCACCCCTGGCAGATCTGCTGACTCAGCTTCCCCCTGTGGGATATGATGAGGTTTCTCTTCAAATAATCTGATCAATCTTTTATTCTTTAATTCTTAGTATCCCCCCCTTTTTTTTTTTCATTTTTCTCCTTTTTGCCTTTGTTAGATGCCCAGGCATGCCACAGTACCAAGCGTTATCAGTACCAGCTCACATTCCTTTGCTTATTTGGAAAGAAGACTAACTTTCTAGCTCATTACAGACACCCTTTCCCCTTTCTCTCCACTTTCTTTTACGTGCCCACTCTATCTAAAATAAATCAAATGTTTAGCCAACCGGGATTAGTTTAGATTGTACGACCTGACCCCAGCCAATGGGGAAAGGGTACAGGGGCAGGACTTGCATCAGGAATAAAGGCTCTCGTGCCCCTTTGTTCAGGTGTGCTCTCATGGCAACTGGCCAAGGAGGCATCCCTCTGCGCAGAAGTAAAATTGCTTTGCTAAGAATCCTGTGTTCGAGTGTTCAATTTCCTTAGGATTTTGAGCATTATTCCTAACACCCGCAAGGGGAAGGGAAACTTTCTTGGTCAGCATTGATTATTATTATTTTTTTTAGATACAGTCTTGTTCTGTTACCCAGGCTGGAGTGCAGTGGCACAATCATGGCTCACTGCAGCCTCAACCTCCTGGGCTCAGGTGATTGCCCCCACCTCAGCCTCCCAAGCAGCTAGAACTACAGGCATGCACCACTATGCTCGGCAAATTTATTTTTGTTTTTTTGTAGAGACACGGTTCTTGCTATGTGCTCAGGCTGGTCTCAAACTCCTGGCCTCAAGCAGTCCTTCCACTTCGGCCTACCAAAGCGTTACCAGCGTAAGCCACCACGCCCATCACATTGATTTTTATGGGGCCGGGGACCTACATGGAGCCTTGCTTTCCTGATTGAGTTTTTTGTTCCTCTCCCTGCCCAGGGGTGGAGGGTGAGAGGCTGGGGGTGAAGGGACAGGCAGGTGCAATTCCATTTTACCGCTGGGCGGAGCAAGACTCATGAGACATCAAAGGCAGAGAGATTCAAATTCTGACTGAAGAATAACTGCTTCAACTAATCTGGGAACACTACACTCTGTTTAATTTTCATTTAATATGTATTATATGCCGTTTAAGTTTTATAACAGTAGTTGTTTTAACGAAGTCTACACTCTTCAGAGTTGTAGCTTTTCTTCTCAGCTGCCTCCTGACTTGCTGCACCTCTGGGAAAGCTGAAAAGGGATGCTGAGACCTGTGGTTGGGGGATGCTGGGCTAGGTCAATTTCTGAGGCACGGCCAGTTCTGATGTCCTGAGTGGAGCTTGCCAGGGTTTTTATATGCAAGACATCATTCAACATAACCCCATGAGGCATTTCACATATGGGGGAACTGAGGCACAGAGGTGAAATGAAGCAAGTCCCTCTCAGAGAACAACCATCTCCAAGTCCCTTTGATTTCTACTCAAGTCTTAGGTCAATTCTTAGACAGCCTTTGTGGCAATTTCAGTGTTTTCTCAGTGTATCATTCAGTACTGTGTGTTGAGCCGCTGCTCTGTAGCAGGCATACCTCTAGGCTCGGGGACGTAGCAGTGAATGGAACAGAAAAATAAGTTCCTGTGCTCATGGAGCTTGCATTTTACTGGGGGGAGACAGACAAACATATAAGCCTGTAAAGATAGTATTTGGGATGTGAGATAGAGAAGGAGTAAAGCAGGGTAGCGGGGATAGAGAGTGTTGGGGTGGGAAGGGTTGCAATTT
Source organism: Homo sapiens (assembly GCF_000001405.40). Classification (NCBI taxonomy): domain Eukaryota; kingdom Metazoa; phylum Chordata; class Mammalia; order Primates; family Hominidae; genus Homo; species Homo sapiens. The sequence continues at coordinate 38,395,477 of NC_000009.12, forward strand.
TTTAAAGGGTGGTCAGGGAAGGCCTTGCTGAGACAGTGGCTTTTGAGACCCAGCAGAGGTGAGGGAGTGAGCTGAGGATAGGCGGGACGTGATGGAGTTGGCCCAGAGAGTTCATCAGGGCCCTCACAGCTCTTACAGTCTGTGTTTTTAGAGGTGACAGTCCTTTATGCTGGAATCTTGAAATGTTTGAGCTGGTGGGCCCTTGGGTACCGCCACCTGCCTTCTCCCACCTGTTCACCCTGGTTTCTTTTGTCCCTCTCCAGAGTGTCAGCATGCTGCGCTTCCTGGCACCCCGGCTGCTTAGCCTCCAGGGCAGGACCGCCCGCTACTCCTCGGCAGCAGCCCTCCCAAGCCCCATTCTGAACCCAGACATCCCCTACAACCAGCTGTTCATCAACAATGAATGGCAAGATGCAGTCAGCAAGAAGACCTTCCCGACGGTCAACCCTACCACCGGGGAGGTCATTGGGCACGTGGCTGAAGGTGACCGGGCTGATGTGGATCGGGCCGTGAAAGCAGCCCGGGAAGCCTTCCGCCTGGGGTCCCCATGGCGCCGGATGGATGCCTCTGAGCGGGGCCGGCTGCTGAACCGCCTGGCAGACCTAGTGGAGCGGGATCGAGTCTACTTGGCCTCACTCGAGACCTTGGACAATGGGAAGCCTTTCCAAGAGTCTTACGCCTTGGACTTGGATGAGGTCATCAAGGTGTATCGGTACTTTGCTGGCTGGGCTGACAAGTGGCATGGCAAGACCATCCCCATGGATGGCCAGCATTTCTGCTTCACCCGGCATGAGCCCGTTGGTGTCTGTGGCCAGATCATCCCGTGGAACTTCCCCTTGGTCATGCAGGGTTGGAAACTTGCCCCGGCACTCGCCACAGGCAACACTGTGGTTATGAAGGTGGCAGAGCAGACCCCCCTCTCTGCCCTGTATTTGGCCTCCCTCATCAAGGAGGCAGGCTTTCCCCCTGGGGTGGTGAACATCATCACGGGGTATGGCCCAACAGCAGGTGCGGCCATCGCCCAGCACGTGGATGTTGACAAAGTTGCCTTCACCGGTTCCACCGAGGTGGGCCACCTGATCCAGAAAGCAGCTGGCGATTCCAACCTCAAGAGAGTCACCCTGGAGCTGGGTGGTAAGAGCCCCAGCATCGTGCTGGCCGATGCTGACATGGAGCATGCCGTGGAGCAGTGCCACGAAGCCCTGTTCTTCAACATGGGCCAGTGCTGCTGTGCTGGCTCCCGGACCTTCGTGGAAGAATCCATCTACAATGAGTTTCTCGAGAGAACCGTGGAGAAAGCAAAGCAGAGGAAAGTGGGGAACCCCTTTGAGCTGGACACCCAGCAGGGGCCTCAGGTGGACAAGGAGCAGTTTGAACGAGTCCTAGGCTACATCCAGCTTGGCCAGAAGGAGGGCGCAAAACTCCTCTGTGGCGGAGAGCGTTTCGGGGAGCGTGGTTTCTTCATCAAGCCTACTGTCTTTGGTGGCGTGCAGGATGACATGAGAATTGCCAAAGAGGAGATCTTTGGGCCTGTGCAGCCCCTGTTCAAGTTCAAGAAGATTGAGGAGGTGGTTGAGAGGGCCAACAACACCAGGTATGGCCTGGCTGCGGCTGTGTTCACCCGGGATCTGGACAAGGCCATGTACTTCACCCAGGCACTCCAGGCCGGGACCGTGTGGGTAAACACCTACAACATCGTCACCTGCCACACGCCATTTGGAGGGTTTAAGGAATCTGGAAACGGGAGGGAGCTGGGTGAGGATGGGCTTAAGGCCTACACAGAGGTAAAGACGGTCACCATCAAGGTTCCTCAGAAGAACTCGTAAGAGCAGCTGTCAGGGAGGCCCAGTCACAGTCCAGCAATTCCACAACCACCTTGACGAATGCTTGCCAAGCTGTTTTAAAGCCAAGAACACCCTTTCTTTGTTCCAAATTAACTCTTAGAAGAAACCCCACAAATAAAGCAATTCAATCAAGGCTGTTCTATTTAAATCAGAGATGGGGACCAGGCTCAGAGTTCTACCTATCTAACCCCCAACCACAGCCCCCTTGGTGGCCCATGAGTTGCTTCCATGAAATCTTAGGAGTCTCTGGAGGACAGATTAAAAACCAGTGATCTGTAATTTGTAGCTCTTCCTGCTGATCCAAGGACTTTCCCATGGGTGCGCTTGATGGTTTAGTGGATCGACTCAACTCAGAACACAAGCTTGGAAAGTGTTAGGGGTTTTGAACTAGGTGGATACTAAATCTCGGCCCCACTCTTCATTGGCTTAACCTAAAAACCAGAGGTGCTTTTCCTTGTCTGTGTGCCAGTTGCTGGCTGTTTTAGTTGCTTGCCCTTCATTTTGCTACTGATTTTCCTTAATTTGTGGGAAGGAGTAGGCAAAGAATATGCTTACATGATTACACCTGTAAAGTAAGCCCAAACATCCCAAATGTCCGTCAACTGATGAGTGGATTAATAAAATGTTTCCATGGAATATTCCTTGGATTACTCAGCCATAAAAAGGAATGAAGTACTGACACATGCTGTGACATCAGTGAACCCTGAAAACATCCTTCTCAGTGAAACAAGCCAGAGAGATGTACAAGGCTACAGACTGTATGATTCCATTTATATGAAATATACATACTAGGCAAATCCATGGAGATGGAACATAGATTAGTGGTTGCCAGGGGATAGAGGAGTAATTGTTAGTGGGCATGGGATTTGTTTTTGGGAGGTTTTGAAAATGTTCTGGAGTTGAACAATAGTAATGGTTGCATGATTTGGTAAAAATACTAAAAACTATGGAATTGTTTAATTATGGTATATGAATTAATTTCTTTCTTTTTTTCTTTTTTTTTTTTTTTTTTGACACGGAGTCTCACTCTGTCGCCCAGGCTGGAGTGCAGTGGTGTGATCTCGTCTCACTGCAACCTCCGCCTCCCAGATTCAAGCGATTCTCCTGTCTCAGCCTCCTGAGTAGCTGGGATTATAGGTACATGCCATCACACCTGGCTAATTTTTGTATTTTTAGTAGAGATGAGGTTTCACCATTTTGGCCAGGCTGATCTTGAACTCCTGACCTCAGGTGATCCACCCGCCTCAGCCTCCCAAAGTGCTGGGATTACAGGTGGGAGCCACAACACCCGGCCATGAATTAACTCCGTTAAAAAATAAACGTATACATTCTGTGAGCAAATCCATTTTGTCTCCATATTGTCCTGCTGCTGAACATTTTATAGAGTGTGGGGGATGGAAGGGACCCAGGTGGTCTAGTCAACCCCCAGTCAGGTGCAAAAGTCCCCTCCCCAATGTTTCTGTTTTTGTTTTCTCTTGGATGGGTGACAAAGTGCAACTGTAAGACCCGTAGAGAAAAACTCTGGTTCCTGCTCAGAATGGGCCCATCTTGTTGGACTCGTTTCCACAGCCCCCCACCCCTTCCAAACCATACCCACCCTTCAAGCCAAGCCTAGCATGGGGGCCACCTTGACATGCTGGGGATTTCCAGAGTTTCAAACCTCAGAGTTCATAATGTTTATTGTTAGTCTTGCTACATTCATTCCCCAACTGATGGGAGTGAAGGCAAATCCAAGCCAGCCAGGCCACAATACAGAAGCAGAATGCTGAGCCTCCCTCTCTCGGTCCATCTTTCTAGACCATGCTGCTTACAAGCCACCTTACGTTCAAGTCCCCCCATTCCTGTAAATGCACACCCCACTCATCTCTGCTTCCCAGGCTCAAGCAATCCTCCCACCTGAGCCTCCCAAGTAGCTGGGACTACAGGCACTCACCACCATGCCTGGCTAATTTTTTTTTTTTTTTTGGTATTTTTTGTAGAGATGAGGTTTCACCATGTTTCCCAGGCTTGTCTCAAACTCCTGGTCTCAAGCAACCCTCCTGCCACGGCCTCCCAAAGTGCTGGAATTACAGGCATGAGCCACCATGCCTGGCCCCAGTCAACTCTTAAACATCCTATTGTCTTACCTAGGCAACATGATGATTTTGTTTATTATCATAACTTGGGTTTGGCTGGAAACTGCTGCTTGAGGGTTCAGAGTCTGTTTGGTTCCCTCACCTCCCTTCCTAGGACCTCCTTTCTACACCATTTGTCTACAGCTAAGGTGACCCTGACACTCCCCCATAGTGCACCTTCTACGGATTTCTCTGGGAGGCTGTTGGCACCTCTGTTGCACAGCAGCGAAAGTTTCTCATAAACGCACTGGGACATGGAAATGGGCGGCTGGGTGTCTCTAATGATTAATGTGCAACATCACAATATTTTAACAACTCCATTCCTTATTTAAGTTTCAATACTCCTTAACCAAAGACGAGCTCTGTAGACAGTGTTCCAGTATGGAATGGGATTGGAAAAGACAATCTTCATGGTCCCTTGTTTTGAGCCCTGAAATTCTGAGAGTGAGGAGCCTGTAGGTCAGATTGTTAATAAACTCAGCCATCACGGCTCCTCCACCCATTTTTAAATTCTTTTAAAAATTTATTTATTTATTTATTTATTCATTCATTCATTCATTCATTGAGATAGGGTCTCATTCTGTTGTCCAGGGTGGGTGCAGTGGCACGATCATGGCGCACTGCAGCCTCCACCTCTTGGGCTCAAGCAATCCTCACACCTCAGCCTCCTGAGTAGCTGGGACTACAGGCATATGTCATGATGCCTGGCTGATTTGTGTATTTTTTGGAGAGACAGGGTTTTGCCTCATAGCCCAGGCTGGTCTTGAAGTCCTGAGTTCAAATGATCTGCCCACCTTGGCCTCCCAAAGTGCTGGGATTACAGGCGTGAGCCAGCAAGCCCAGTCCCCTCCACTCATTTTACCACTGTGCTGAATGCACAGACTTGTGAGCAGGGAGGTTTAACTGGGTGTCCTCATTCAGGCCAGACACTGCCCACCAGACTCACACTTGGGAGATGTTGCAATTCTGGGGCTTCCATCCACTTAGCAAACTCTCACCAAGATCTTACTCCATAAACACTATGCCAGGCACCTTGCCATGCTATGGAAGCCTCACAACCATCCTATAAAGCAGGTAGTGGAGTAATGGAGTTACCACCCCACTTTTTTCAGGTGAGGGAAAGGAAGTGGAGAGGTTTAATAGGGAACTCTTCTGGAATCAGTTCCCCATGAGCATGCACGAGGGACCAGAGAGCGGCGCATACTGGCAAGCACATGGAACCAACCCTCCAAGCCTGGAGAACCCACGGCAAAGCCCAGCAAGCCCTACACACCCAAGCCAGCCACTGTGCTGGATGCATCAGAGCTGCTGCTCAGTCCCACCGGTTCTCCTCAGACCCGGGGCCATTTAGGAACTTTCATTTGGGTTGGCTCCATTCTGGGTGTGAGGCTGACCTCTGGTGGCCACCTGATTCATTAATTCACACAAGTAACTCTTTGGTTTAAGAAAAAACAAAGGGGTTGGGTGGGGGGCGATGGTCCTGCTCTAGGCCTATTGTTGGGGGAAAGAGAATTGAGTAAGACAGTCCCTTCCCTGCAGGAGCTCACAGTTGGGCAGGGGAGACAATTACAGAGCCGGGTGGACAGTGCAGTGAGAAGCACAGAGGCCGTGAGATCATGAGCGGAAAGCAAGCCTCTGTATCAAGCACACACGGTGGGCCACCTCCCTTCATGCTTCTTTCTTTTTTTTAATTTCGTGATGGAGTCTCGCTCTGTCTACCAGGCTGGAGTGCAGTGGCGCAATCTTGGCTCACTGCAACCTCTGCCTCCTGGGTGCCTCCTGAGTAGCTGGGATTACAAGCAGACACCACCACGTCCGGCTAATTTTTGTAGTTTTAGTAGAGACAGGGTTTCACTTTCTAACTGCCATCAGGGCCCTCAGTATTATTCTTCTGCACTTGATAGACATCAAGCCTGGGAGGTGTTCAGCAGTGAGTGGAGACAGGCTCAAGCTCAGGTCCTCTGATTCTGCCAGACACCGCTGCCTCCCAGGGCTCCCAGCTCAGTTCAGGCACAGGCCCAGTGGGAGTGGGCATGGGGTCCTGCTAAATGACTAGCAGGGGACCAGAGGGATAAGGGAAGGATGCTCCTGGAGTCTGAGAAATATGGAGGGTTGGAGGAAGGGCAAGTTTTTCCATGAGGAGGAAAGAGGCAGGGAGGAAAAGCATGGGGGCAGGGGGCAGGCAGGGGCTGGACTGTGAAGGGGCTCGTGCATCCTTTCAGAAAGCTCACACTTGGTCTAGCAATGGGAGGGTGCTTTTTGGTTTTGCTTTTGTTTTTTAAACAGGGTCTCCCTCTGCCACACAGGCTGGAGCACAGTTGCTTGATCATAGCTCACTACAGCTTCAAACTCCTGGGCTCAAGCGATCCTCCCACCTGAGCCTCCCAAGTAACTGGGACTACAGGTGTGTGCCATCATGCTGGGTTAACTTTTTTAACATTTTGTAGAGATGGGGGACATCTCGCTGTGTAGCCCAGGCTGGTCTTGAACTCCTGGCCTCAAGCAATCCTCCTGCCTCAGCCACCCAAAGTGCTGAGATTACAGGTGTGAGCCACCATGTCTGGCTGCCCCCGAGGGCTTTTAAAGGAAAGTGATAGGATCACATTCGGTTTCTGAAGCTGGCTCTGCTTCAATGTGGAGGATAGATTGAGGGAGTTGACCTGGAGTCAGCACCTCTCAGGACATTGTTGCTTGCGCCCAAAGTGATGCTGGCACACCAGGGTGTGGGGTGGGGGCAGAGTCTGGACAGCCAGAAGGCAGGCTTCAGGGCATGATGACAGATGGACAACTTGGCACAAGAGAGGAGAGAAAGTTGGGTAACCTCATGTTTCTGGCTGCAGTAACCACGTGGGGGGTAGTGCCAGCCACTGCAACCACCCTGGAGGTTGCACGTTTAGGGACACGGTGGGACTCTTACTTATGTATTCCTTTGTTTAACACATTTTATGGAATGTTGTCTATGTGCTAGGAACTATTCTAGGGGCAGAGGATACAGCAGGAAACTAAAAAAAAAATAAAATCCTGAACATCCTTTCTGATAGAAGAGGCAGACCATATGCAAAACAGGTGAAATCGTTAGTCTGTCAGGAGGTGAAGGGTATTATAGAGAACAACAGTGCTGGGAAGGGAATAGGGAAGTGGGTGGGATGGAGTAGACATTGTAATTTTCAGTAAGGTGCTCAGAGGTCGTCTCACCAAGAGACTGGAGCATGCCTGGAGGCTCCAGGAACACAGGAGAAGGCCAGGTGGCTGGCATGGAGCAAGCCAGGTGGGGAAATAGGACAGAGAAGTCACAGCCTGAGGGGGGCAGAGGGCTGGTGTTTGGAGGTCACCGTGTGGATGGACTGACGGGGGCCTTTACTCTGAGGAAGGAGCCACCAGAGGCTTTTGGGCACAGCGGCAACATGATATGACTTGTTTTAAAAGGATCACTGGGGCCGCTATGTTGAGAACAGTTTGTAAGGGGAGCAAAATCATTTGACCTTAAGAATGCCAACAAGGAGTGAACAGAGAATGAGGAGGAGCAGGAGGAAGACCCAGGAGAGATGAGGCAAGAAGCCAAGGAAGGCGGGGTACTTTCCGGGGGAGGGAGCCCCCAGCAAAGCCTGAGGCTCCCAAGAGGTCAAGTAGGAGGAGCACTGAGCAATGTCCCTGGCTGCAGCCACCAGGACTCCCTGTAGACCTTGGTAAGAGCAGGTGGTGGAGTTGGGCACAGAAGCCAGAAAACCTGGGTTGAGAGTGTCACTTAATCCTCCCAAGCGCCAATGATCTGTACATTAGTCCTGGAGTTAGGAAGACCCTCAAGGGAAAGCAAGAAGTCCTGGTATGAGGCCCTTTGAGAGCCTCTGGTGCATCCCACCTCACTTAGCCAGAAATGTGGACAGAGCAACTTGGACAAGTTGCTCCCAGCCAAGCGTTCTTCCCATGTGTACTGGCATAATGTTAGCCGCCACAACAAATAACCCCCCAAATTTGAGGGTTCAATACGACGACTATTTAGTTTTGCTTATGTAACAGTCTAATGCAGGTACCTGGCAAATTGGTATTTTCCTTCCACATGGAGATTCAGGGACACCGGTTCCTTTCGTCTTGTGGTTCCACCATGTACAACGGTTCTTAACCTTTTTTTTTTTTTTTTTTTTGAGACGGAGCCTTTGCTCTGTTGCCCAGGCTGGAGTACAGTGGCGCGATCTCGGTTCACTGCAACCTCTGCTTCCTGGGTTCAAGCAATTCCCCCTGCCTCAGTCTCCCGAGTAGCTGGGATTACAGGTGCCTACCACCATGCCCGACTAATTTTTGTATTTTTAGTAGAGACACAGTTTCACCATGTTGGCCAGGCTGGTCTCGAACTCCTGACCTCAGGTGATCTGCCGGCCTCGGCCTCCCAAAGTGCTGGGATTACAGGCATGAGCCACCGCACCTGGCCTGTTCTTAACCATTTTTATGTTTTGCGTTCCTTTGAAAAGCTAATCAAAGCAATAGACCTTTTCACCATGAAAAGGATGTACACGCACATGCACACAGTTTGCACACTTTCAAGGAGTTCACAGAATCTGTGAATCTACCTATAGAATCCCAAGGGGTCCAGGGATCCAAGTGAAAACCCCTGTCTGGGGCCTCAGAGATCTCCGTGTCAGCTGGTAAATGGGGAAGAAAGTGCAGAAAAGGCACAGTGACTTTTTGAGAGCCCTGGGCTCTGCATGGAACACATCGCCTCTACTCACATTTCACTAGCTACATGACCCAGCCTAGGTGCAAGAGGAGACGGGAAGTATAGTCTGTGACAGGACAGTTCAACACTGTGGAAGACCCTCGGTTTTGCTGGCAGTTCGCCCCAGCTCTGCCGCCCATGGCACGTCCGTGGAGATATGCCAACAGGAGACTGCTTCTCACAAGGATGTTTTTTGAGTTTAATGCTCTCGTGGGTCATTTGCTGCCTCCCATCCAGCCGTGCTCACACTGTTCCTTTTTCTTGGAGCCCTACTTAAGGGCCACCCCCTCCAGGACAGTTCCTCTGAACTTCTCATTTAAGCAATCTCACCCTTTGAGCTAACCTTTTGCGCTAACAGCTGTGGCAGCACATGCTCTCTTAGCCTCTGAAGAGGTCTCTGGGCACCCTTCATTTAGTCTTGTACTGAGGCAGCTCTCGTTGGTTGAAACGGGTCTAATGTTTTTGTCCTGCTAGACTATGTCTCACATACTCTGAGCATGTTTGATTTATCTCCCAGCCCTCTCCCACCGGCACACAGCCCTCCAAGATCTGTGCAGAACAGACAGTGCATGGCCATTCACACATGGGGCTCTCAGAGCAACAGGCCAGGGCAGGGATGCCACCCTTCCTGGATTGAAGAGGAAATGGAAACTCTAAGAGTTGATGAAAGTGACCCAGCCTTGCAATCTCTGACAAGGCTTGACCTTAGTTCTGGGTCTTCCAACTCTAAAGCTAGTGCCCTTTCCACCCAAGCAAGAGCTGCATACACCTTCAACAGCAGAGAGACGGGGCATGCCACTTGGCACCACAAGCAGCCTTCTGTGCCGGAGCTGAGACTCCGAGGTCTGTGGGCAATTGTAGACCCTTTGCTACCTGGCGATGCCTGGTGCACTGGAGGAGCTCTGCAAATGTGTGATGGGTGGGTTTATGCATGGAGAAAAGAGGGGAGACTGTTCCCCCACTCCCTAGTACTCAGGATTTTTACTCTTCCCTCGAGAATCAACCGTTCCCTAATATAGGAGGGGAGATGTAGGCATGAGGAAGAGACAGCCACAGTGAAAGTCAACACAGGGAAGTCTGCCTCCTTGGACCCACGCACTTCTCACTGCTGGATGCAATCGAGGCTGAACTGAAAAGGAGCCCTGGCCGTAAACGAGTTCACGTTCCAGGAGAGCGGTCAGCCCCAGAGAGCCAGAGCGTGGGCAAGTGTTGGTGTCCATCTCAGCCCTGGGCACTGGGCTTCCACGTTCTGAATTCATTAAACTGAGACACCAGAGCACCTGGCTTTCCCTTAATTAATTAAAATATCATGGAATAATCATTGTCTGATGTAATGTTCAAGAAGCCCTCGTAAAGGCTGGGAAGGAGGAAATTCATTAGCGGAGACTTTTACTGTCGCTGGATCTGCCGTTCTTATTCATTTCTCCTGCACCATCCGTCCCTGGAGGAGAGGGCAGGACAGTGTTTTTAAAGATGTTGGAATTAATTTCACCATAAAACCTGAAAGAAAAAAAAATCCACCTTAACTAAAAACTAGCCTTATTTGTGTTTAAGGGGGAAAGCAGATACATTTGGGATTGAACATGGGCTGTGGAATTGTCTTCCTCAAGCCCAGCTGACAACAGAGACAGAGATTCAGTCTGTCCACTGCTTACGGCAACAAGTTCAACCTCCTCTGTCTGCATTGAGGGGTGTTGCCCCAAACTACTACCCGCCCACCACCATAGCTCTGAGCAGCAGCAACTGGCCATTCCTCCCTGTTCACAAACTACACTGCATTTTTCTACCCCGACTCCTTTTTGCATGCTGTTTCCTTAGCCTGGAATCCCCCACACCCACTCCTGCCAGTTCAAATGCCTGCCTCCTCTTCTGGGAAGTCTTCCTTGATCTCCCTCTGCTCTAACCACAAAGCAGACACCATATGCTGCCAGGGATGGTGACCTCATCCCACCCATGTCTCCACTGGAGTCTGAGTTCAGGACCTGATTCTACCTACTTTCATATGGGAGGAATCCAGATGATTCCAAACATATGACTTTCGGCATCTTGTACCTGTCTGGCACCTGGAGAATGCTACTGTGTGTGTGGGAGGGGACAGAGCACTATCTCAGCAAGTGAATTAAGTACTAGAATGCGTACACGGCAGGACACACATAGTCAAGGGCAGTAGTGTAAGATGATTAGGGCTGGTTAAAAATTTCGGGCAAGGTGAACGGTGGGGCTGCGATCGCAACCAGGCGTGGGAGGTAAGGAGGATCTAGACTAAGTAGCTGAAGTGGGCATGCAGAAGGAAGGACAGGAGGCATGAGGGATGATAAAGGAATACCAGTGGGACCTGCACCCACCTATACAGCATTCCTACAACAAAGACACCACAAAGACTGTCCTTAAAAACATTTATTTTTTTCAGGGTGCAGGGGTCGTGACATCATGACATCTACAAAAACGGTAGAAAAACCCAGGTTTGGTGCGGGGAGTGGGGGCATTGTAATTACGTCTCCAAATGCTAACAGCTGTGGCAGCGCATGCTCTCTTAGCCTCTGAAGAGGTCTCTGGGCGCTCACACTTGAAAAACCATGAGGTTGGAACAATCATGTTAATGCGCCTTTTTGGTTTTGGTGAAAATTTCAGACAGTGTGACATTAATTATTTGTCTTTGCACAGAATGATGATGCTAAAGCCAGCCCCATACAGTCCTGATGCTCAGTACTTCCAGCATGGGCTCTGTCCACCCTGCTCTCTGGGTCTACATCCAGCCCTTCAGTTTTCACTAGGCAAATCTGAGGTGAGTCAACTGAGTTTGCAAAATGTGCTTATTAGCAGGTGTGGGATGTTCTACTACCTTCTTCAGAGCCACAGCATTCCTGTTCCTTCCCACATCATTTCACTAAGGGTCTGACCAACTCATCTCCCAACCATTCAAGACACAGGAGAATTAACTGCAGGCCTTCACACATGGAAGTCAGTCACAGTGCGTGGAGAAGGGAGGGGCGGGAGGGGCTGAGTGAGGAGTGGATGTGAGCAGGTCCCCTGGCAGCTCCAAACCCCAGTAGACAAGAACAGCTTCCAGTGCCATCCATTTCAATTCTCATCTTTTGTTTTCAAAGAGAGCTTCCAGTGTTTTAAAGTTTGAAAACCACTCATCTAGTTTTATTCCCTTTTTACTCAAATAAGGACACTGAGGCACAGAAAGTGAAGGAGACTTGCTCAGGGTCACACAGCGAGCCGGGGATTAATATGCAAATGGATCTCATGTTTCCAGAATCCCAGGCCAGTCTCCTTCTGCTGCATAGTACAGAAGGTGATGCCATCCCAATATATTAGACATGGAATGGCAGGCTTACAGGCGGAAAGTTCACTTCCAACAAGGACTCCAAAATGTAATGCACAATGTGAGCGGTGTGAAAGTGTGCCTTAAAAGTTGGGATGAGTCTTGATAAGAGTCCCTGAAGCCTGTGGATTGGCAACATCTGCCTTTACATAGTTTTGAGATGACCCTGAGTAGCAGCACCGTGGAGTAGAGAGGGGACCAAGGAGGGCCAGGTGCCCTGAGCTCTGCTCCTCTTTCAGAGGCCTTCAGGCCTTGGGCAAGTAGCTTCTCCTCTCAGAGCCTGGTTTCTTCATCTGCTAAAGGCAGGGACATTAACACCTGTCCTGCCCCATCTCCCAGAGTTGGGATCAAGCTTTATGAACTTAAAGGACTGTGCATAGTAAGGGCTCTCAATTCTTATTTTAAAATTGTAATCACCTAAGGATCTATTTTTTTAAGATAAGATAGCAAATATTCTCCTTTCTTTTTTCATTAAAAAAGAAAAAAAAGAGAGCCTTACTCTTGGGTGAGGTCAAAATGTTTGTAGGTAAAATATATTCTACTACAATCTAATTCCACAGTCTGGAGATAACACCTGACCCCTTTTTTTACAATTTGATCGTCAGAAGCCTGGTATCCACCGCTTCTAACCACCTGTTTAGAGAATGCTAGGCTAGGCCAAGCACAGTGGCTGATGCCTATAATCCCAGCACTTTGGGAGGCCAAGGCAGGAGGATCATTTGAGCATAGGAATTTGAGACCAGCCTGGGCGGCAACATAGGGAGACCCTGTCTCTACAAAAAAAAAAAAAAAAAAAAAAAAAATAGCTGGGTGTGGTGGGGCATGCCTGTGGTCCCAGCTACTCAGGAGGCTGAGGTGGAACGATCACTCGAGCCCAGAAAGTGGAGGTTGCAGTGAGCCATGATCACGCCACTGCACTCCAGCCTGGGTGATAGAGCGAGACCCTGTCTCAAAATAAAATTTTAAAAAAGAGAATGCTAGGCTAACAAATGGATGCTCTGGTCTCCAAAGACCCAGCCAAGGCGCTCCTGAGTCTGGTAAAGCATCCCACCTAAAACTAAATCTCCTTCAAAGGGAAAAAGTTAGGAATAGAAGAGCTACAGCCAGCTGTCCACACGTTGGGGTAAAGCAATGGAATTTGTTTCTGAGGGAATACCATTTTAGAAAGAACACTAAGACCACACTTCCTGTTATTTTCCCAAAAGGCCATCTTAATCTAGGATGGCAGGGCTAAAAGGGACATTGATAACATCCAGTTAAAATGCCATACTCACAGATGAAGGGACCAGGGCCCAGAGAGGGGAAGGGATCTGTTCAGGTCACACAGCAAGTTACAGTCAGGCAGAGGACAGCTGGGACCCTCATCCCTCCTTCTACAACACACACTAAGTCACAGAGCACCACTAATAGGTCATAGACAAATGAGGTAAAGAGTCACAGCTGACACGAGCCCTTTCGAAATTGCAAACATGCCGTTCTGTGATCTCCCTGGAAGAGAATAATTACAAAAAGACTTCTCATGGAACAATTCATTTCAAAAGTATAAAAAAGCCACATGCAAATCCGTTTCTCACTGTTTGCCCTGCTAAAAACTACATCTGCATACAGATCTAGTTTGCATCTAATTTTTAAAAACACACAAAAGGGGTCATCTACACACACAGGTTTTCCAACTCTTCATGAAGCACAAAGATCCGTTATTTGACTTTTCCATCATCCCATGATCAATGTTTCTAAGACCCTAGGAAGAAAAGGAGAGAAAGAATTAGAGAACGTAAGCCTGCTCCGTTACAATCAACTATGTGTTACATGGAAGGTGGGGGAAATGATCCTTCACTTCGAATCTCTCCCCAGCAGGAAATGGTGCCAGTGGAGAGTGAAGGGCCCTGTGGAGTCCCAAGAAGTACTTTTAAGACCAAAAGGTGGACGTTTCAAAGCAGCAGACTCCAGCTTAATAAGATCTTTTCAACCATTGGAAAATCCACAGATGGCTCTCAGTGGTAGTGAGCTCTGTATCCCTGGAGGTATGTAAGCCAGAGCTGGCAATACTGTGTGTCACAGAAGGAACTCAAGACCTAGGCAGCAGTGATGCTCTTAAAATTCCACAATTTTTCATGGTATCCTTTTGATGTATTCACAACCCAGAATCATTTCTGCCTCAAAATATACGTGTATTTGAAAATTATAGATATATATATTTAAAACTGGAAACATATCTATATAAAACAAGTCACATATCATCAGGAAGACAATTTTAAGACCCAATCTCCTAACTCTTTGTTGAATTCCTATTTCACAGTTTTACATTTTCATATTTTTCTCCCCATTTCTAGGGCCTCTAACTACTCACGTACACCCATCCTTCAATCCTCATGCCACCTCCTCGATGATTCTTCCTTCATTTTCCCCAGTTCTAAGCTGCTTTTCATGCCTTAATATCTCCTCCCATTCCCTTACATCGCACTCCTTGTATTATAATTATGTCCACTTTTTGTTTTTCTGTGATCCCCTACAGACCAGAAGTAAGGCCTTGCACACAGAAGGTGTGCAACAGTAGTGGCTGAAAGAATAATATAACTAAAACCATGGCAAAATCCCCCTGCTTTTGAGAAACCCTATCAGACTTGTTTCTAATTTTTCCTGTTCTATTAAGCACCTGTTGATCAGCCTTGGTAATGGTGCCTGTTCACCACTGCTCCCCCATTCCTGTAAGAGGATCGTGCAGGCCAGGCACGGTGGCTCACGCCTGTAATCCCAGTACTTTGGGATGCCAAGGCGGGCGGATCATGAAGTCGGGAGATCAAGACCATCCTGGCTAACACGGTGAAACCCCGTCTCTACTAAAAATACAAAAAAATTAGCCAGGTGTGGTGGCGGGTGCCTGTAGTCCCAGCTACTCGGGAGGCTGAGGCAGGAGAGTGGCGTGAACCCAGGAGGCAGAGCTTGCAGTGAGCCGAGATCGCACCACTGCACTCCAGCCTGGGTGACAGAGTGAGACTCTGTCTCAAAAAAAAAAAAAAAAAATGATTGGTCTGTAAATGGGCGGGGCACACATCACATCCGAGCAGAAACTTTAAATGCAATGGTGTGTGCAGCCTGGCCACAGAACGGACATGTTCCACACTGGAGCTGTTCCTCCAGCTGGGTCCTGAATGAGGGGACACATGGGGCAGGGCCACAGCCAGCTCACAGCTATAACATGGAACATGAGCAAGTGATCAACGTCTGTGGCTGTGAACCAGCAAGATTTTGGGATTTTTATGAGCAAAAGCTGGCTTATAAAGTGATCCCTTTCCCGAATTCCCAGTTCACCTGTAGGCAAGGAACAGATGCAACCCCAGCTGTCACCTGTGTGACTACAGACTAGGAGGCCTTGACCAGAGGGGATGCAGAGATTCTCTCTGCCCCTACCCACAAGGAGATGTGTTGCAAAGCAGCACACAGTGCTGAGGACAGGAAGGCAAGGCCTGAGCCCCAGGAAGGAAGCTCAGGTGTCCTGAACAAGGAAGAGCTCCAGGAACACACAAAGGAAGCTCAGGCATCTTCTTTGTGGGAACATTTTCACATGGACGCTGTCACAATGACACTGTCTGCTACCTCTCTCAGTGCTCTTTCTAGAAGAATACAGAGGAAATATTCCCTCCAGCCCCAAAACACAACTGGTCTTTTCATCTCATGGACACACATCATGTTCACAGCTCTTGTCTTTGCATGCTAAGAAGCTCAGAGGGAGATGTGTGCAGAATATACCAGGGATTCTACTGCTCATCTAAGTATGTCCCTACTCTTCTTTTGCTCTTTCCCTGGTTTCCTCCATTTACGTATTTTTCTTCTTTTTTTTACAGGTCTTATAAGCCACCTCAAATATCTCATAACATGGGTGTAAAATACTGAAAATGACTTAGAACATGTACATTTCTCCATCACATGCGGTCATCGGGAGCTGGGAAGTGGAAGCTCCTGTATTTACTCAGATCTAGAACCGTCACTGTGCTGTGGGACTCAGCCTCTCCCACCATGTTGGCTGCATGGCACTGGTACACACCCTCATCCTCCTTTCGCAGGGGGTTGATCTAGAAATACAACAGGCAAGTTTATACAGTTATATAAGGAACAGCAAAATGACTTCCTTAGTTAGTTCTTAATGATAAGTCTGCACACTTCCTCCTTTTCAGAATAAGGTAAAACTTGCTCTATTTCTCTCCTTGCATTGGCTGCCAAGGAGCACGCAGGTAAATTTCCTTCCCAGGGACCCTCTTGAAAGGCACGCTCCCTATTGTGGCTCTCATCTGAATGATTCCTCCGCACACCTGCCTTTTACTGTGAGCTACCTGGTCTTTTGTATTAAAGGTGCAAGGTATAGGTTATTTGGAAAACACCTCAAGTTAAAAGAAGAACAAAAATCTACTGACCAAAGAATGATCCAGAAAGTATTCCCTATAGGGGCAGCCTCTACAAAATACCACCAGAGATAACCTCTTTTCCCTGTCTTTTCTCCTAAGAAAATAGAGGAATGTGCTTGATTTGAAAAAACCGCACAGCCAATTGCATTCCCAATCTCTCAGCTGGGTGGAGAAGAGTCACCAAGCCTCCCAGAGCTGTGGGTGGAATGAGGAGGTTGTCCTTAGGGAGCACCCCAAGGATGTTCACAGCCAGGTCCATAACCAGCTCGCGTCTTTTTTGCTTTCTCGTTACAACCAACCGCTTCCATCAATTACAAATCATCCTACCGACCACGCGCTGGTGTACGCACATCAGCTCGTTTTAAACTCATGCCAGTCGTGGGGGAAGGGTGAGCATTATGGTCTTCTTTTTACAGGAGACTCACAGGTAAATCACAGACTGCCAGGGCCACAAAGGCCCTCAGAGGTCTTTCAGTTTGAAGCCCTCTTTCAACAACAGTGGAAATGGAGGCTCAGAAGGGTACAGTGACGACCCAACATGGACCCCTATCTCCTCATTCCATCACTCTTTCAAACATGTGGCATTCTTCATCTTGGTAAAAGTGCTGCGAGTGGCAGGAAAGAGCTCTGGAGGAGGACTCGAATGTGCCACCTTCTACCTTTACCAGCGGGTGACCTTAGGCAGGTGTACTAGTTCCTTGGGCTGCTGTAACAAATCGCCACAAGCTGAGTGCCTTAAAACAAACACATTTCTTTTCTACAGTTTTGGAGGTCAGAGGCCCAAAGGGGGCTAAGATCAAGGTGCCGGCAGGGCTGCATTCTTTCTGAAGGCTCTCAGGAGACTCATTTTCTTGCCTTCTCCAGTTCCTAGTGGATGCTGGCACTCCTTGGCTGTGGCCCTTTCCAACATCATCAAAGCCAGAAATGGTGGGTCAAGTCCTCCTCACATCGAATCACTTCAGTCTGCCTCTGACTCTTCTGTTTCCCTCTTCCACACTTAAAGACCCACCTTTAAATTGGCCCACCCGGATAATCCAGGCTAATCTCCTTATCTTAAATCTCCTTATCTCAGCTGTTTAGCAACCACAACCTCCCTCCCACCACCTTGCCATGTAACATCGTACGGTTCTGGGGGTGAGGACGTGGTGGACATCACTGTGGGGCCATCACTCTGCCCCTGGCAGCAGAACACGTATGTTCCCAGCAGATCTGAAACCTGCCCTGCCTGCCTCACAGTTACTGGAGGGGCCAGTGAGAAATGGGTAAGAACAGCTTTGAAACATGTAATGTGTTGTAGAAATATAAAGGATGGTTTATAATGGTCAGTCAATAATATCCAATAATCCTAAACACTCACCAAAATCCAGGCCGTGGCCTCATGGTCAGAAGGGCCCCCTCGCACTTGGACAGCTATATTGACATGGTCCCCAGGCAGCTCCTCCAGTGCTTGGGTGCCCTCAGGGGACTTCGTGACCTACAGGGGACAGGAATGCCAGGAGGGGGCTTAGAAAAAGCAATTCTGGATAAAGACCATCCCATAGGCTTCCTTGCCCTCCTCCTTCCTCCTCCTCCCACTGACTCAAAAACGGAAACCCTAGCACTGCTCATGCCTATGCAAATGACATCAGTCATTTTTTAAACCTACTTGTACATATAGACAGCACGCTCTGCCAGACAGCAAAGACCCGAACATCACCACCATCCCACAGAAAGATTCAGAATTTCAACGCCTGTCTCAGGGCTATTGACATTAAGGGGACAACATTCGCTGTGATCCTTGCCGGTCTCTCAAAAACTGGTCTTTAGAAGATTTGGTTTTGGAATAGGACTGAGTCTTCTGCCACCAGCCAGGTCTGTCTGAAACACAGCCCCGAAGTGAAGCAGGATACACACACACATGGCCACCGCAGCTGAAGCAGACTGGGTAAAAGCACAGCTTTCTGGGTCCCTAAGTGGCCAAGGGTGTAAGTGGCACAGGAAGGGTTGCAATGTTCCCTTCCAAGGGGAGAGGTTTGGGGTAGAAGTTTCGAGGCAGAGGAGTGGTACAGATGATATCTTTTCTTCATCCTCTGGCCCACCTATAAAGGCATATATATATAAACACACTTAAAAGAAAAACATTTTTACCACTCACGTCTGTTTCTCCCTCTTTCTCACACACACACACACACACACACACACACACGAGATGCATGAGTTCTTGGACAGAAATACCTTTCTCCACGTGATGACTGGGGTAGGCACAGCCCTCACTTCACAGGACAGGCCCACCTGCGCCCCGGTGACGTTGTGAACACTTCGGGGAGGAACGACGACCACAGGAGCTAGGAGGAGGAGACAAGGAGACGCAGCCTTTACCCTGCAGGGTTCCAAGCAACCCACCTCTAAATTCCCCTGCCGCGGAGAGCCCGCTGTGATGTCCTGACATGAGGGGAGCGGCACATCACGCTTGGGCAGGAATCCTAAAAGAGAGATTTCCTCAGACCTGGAAAGCTGCCGACCGATCTCCTGATCCAATGATTGTTTTACCAATGGGAAAGCAGGGGTCCAGAGGGGAAGGGCAACTTCCCAAATTCCCCCAGCACCATCTGTGGCAGAGCTTGGGCCTCAGTGCTCCCTCCCAGGGTCCGTTCCAGGCTCCGGCTGCCATCTGCTATAGCTCAACCAGGAAAAACGGCAGCCGACTCCTAGAGGGGCTGGTGTCACGCCACCAACGGCAGAGTCTTCTAACAGATGGGCTTTTCTCCTTCCACGTGGAGGGTGTTAGGAAGAAGAATGCCAGGAAGAACAGCTGCACACACCCTGGAGCTCAATCCCCTGCGGTCCATTCAAGATGCCCATTTGCATGCACAGGGTAAAGACTCCCCAGGGCTCCCCCACTCCCTCTGCCTCCCCATCCCCAGAAGCCGACCCAAGCCTGGGCAAATCAGGGAATCAGGGAAATGTGGTTCTAGACTGCCAGAACATGACGGAGAGGAGAGGGAGGGTATGGGCTCCCTGGACAGGACCCAGTGTTAGATGTTTCAAACTCCTACTCCACACTCTGCCTTCCTCCCCATGCCTGGCATCTGCTCTGCTCACACTGGGCTGGAATAATCAAGGCCAGGCGTTTCTACCTGCTCTCACCTGCATTGGACAGCAACTCAGCCACCCTGGCATCCAGCACCACAGCGTGTTGGGCAACGTGCAGTGTAGAGGCCTGGCCAGGGAATGCTCCCACCCAGCTGTCATCTATAAGGTGGGGATCACACCCCTGCTTCCTAGGGCGGTCAGGCTGATCTAACCATGGAATGAGTGAAAAGTGTAAGTTAATGTGATATGCAAGTGAGGGCCAGGAGCAAAAGGATGACTGGATGAACAAACACATGAGAAATCAAGGAACAAACATGTTCATTTCCAGGCCATCAAACTGCAGAGTCTAGAACTCCTAGGGCTTTGCCTGGTGACTCAAGGACAGCCCTGTTGTTCTCCACAAGACTGCACCTGGATAAGGCTGCAATACAAAAGGAGAGCAAAGGGAGGAGACAGAAGGCAGGAGGAAGGAGGTGACGGACAGCGTCGCATCACACCCCAATGCTCAGGAGGATCAGGGTGCAGAAAGGAGACTAGTTTGGCCCCTCCAGACAGACTGGGAAGCAGACCCTGTCAAGCCAGTGCCAAAAAATCTCTGGAAAATCGCCTTAGAGCCACAGTCTCAAACTAGAGAGGCTCTTTAGCATCCTGATTCTCTGTGATTCTGTGCCTGACCACGTATGACATGCTCGCACAGCCTCCATTTGCATGCCTTCAGGGATGGAGAACTCACCACCTACGGAGCCAGGCCATTCTGTCTTTGGAGGGCTCCACTGGTAAGAAGGTGCATCCTCACCTAGAGCTAAAGCCTGTAACTCCCACCTGTTGATCCTGGGGCTGCCCTCTGGAGCCCCATAGCCCCTGGGTGTCCCAGCAGCCCACCAGTGAGTTGAATACAGACTGCCCTCCCCATCCCAGGCTGCTTTCCTCCCCCTCTATCTGATCCACCCACTCATTCAGCTGTACCCATCTGAGGGCCCTCTGAAGGGTGGTGCCCAACCCATGTGCCTGAATGTAGCCAAAGCCCCGGGAACCAAGATCCTAGATGTCTAACGTTGCCTGACAGCCACAGAGAGCCACAACACTGAGCTCTCCGGCAGGAGCCCCATCTGTGATGACAAAGACAGTCTAATTTATTCACATTGTCCCGCCAGCGCCTCCCCAACCACACAAGCGCTGGGATGCCGCCTCCAGGGAAGCCCAAACCAGTGCTCCAGTGGCTCGCTGTGGTGACAGTCAGAAAGACCTGGATACCAAGGGGACTCTCAATCAGCCTGGTTTACTTTTGTTCATGTAAAGTCATACATTTTAAATGTGATTTCATCAATCCCTTTCAGGCCTAAATGAGTAAACCAATAAATCACAATTCATCTCTCTCTCCTCATGTTTCAGTCTGTCTCTCTAACAACTACAATTAAGAAAGACTGTCTTGGAAATACTGACTTTGTAACTGATTTTGTGGCAAAAAATACAAATTCCTTTACAAAAGAAGCCCTGCTTTTTAAAGGGACGTCAAAGCACATTAAAGGGACATTTAAATTTGTATTTATTTATTTATTTATTTTTAAATTTACACAAAGCACAATTCGTTCCTTCTGGTGTGCAGTTCTAGGTTTTGACAAATGGATACAGTCATGTAATTACCACTATAGCCAAGATACAGAACAGTTGTTCTGTGACCTCAAAAAATGTCATGTTGCTCATGCCATAATAATCCGGTTCTAATTTTTTTTTTTTTTTTTGAGGCAGAGTCTCATGTTATCCTCAGACTGGAATGAAGTGGCACAATCATAGCTCACTGTAGTCTTGAACTCCAGGGCTCAAGCAATCCTCCTGCCTCAGCCTCTTGAGTAGCTGGGACTACAGGCATGCACTACCACGCCCAGATAATTAAAAAAAATTTTTTTTTTTGTAGAGATGGGTCTTGCTATGTTGCTCAGGCTGGTCTTAAACTCCTGGCCTCTAACAATCCTCCCATCTTGGCCTTCCAAAGCTCTGGGAATACAGGCATGAGTCACTGTATTCCCAGCCCTGTTTTTAATTTTAACATATTTTAACATATCTGATTTTAAATTTAAAATATTTTTATCCACAGTAGCTCTTTATAATCAATAATAATAACACTGTTATTATGCTATCAGCTAGCACAGCGCTCGCTGTGTGCTAAGCACTCCTCTGCCTACAGGTATTAACTTGTTTATCTCTCCAGCAATCTCACCAGCTGCCAGATGGTGGCGCTGCCCTGGGTTACCGAGCATTAAAGGGTGTAGTGAGGAGGCTGTGAGCCCAGTGATGTGGCTCCAGATCCCAAGCTCTTCTGAACCACTGTGCTAACACCATCCTGCCTTTTCCCTAGAGGACCCTTCCACGTACACCACCCTTTCATCCTCATGGCAGCCCTGTGAGGTAGCTGCTTCCATCCCCATTTCACAGATGAGAAAACCAAGACTCAGAAAGGTAAAGTGCCCAGAGGAACAGGGACTCAAACCCAGGCACCATGATTCCATTCACTCCCACACTGGTTTCTAAAGTGGAACATTTGTTATCTGTGTGGTCTCCGATCCAGAATAAGAGATGAGTTGCTTAGGGATTGTGTTGGGGGATCCCCAAGACAACTCTCTGGTTCAATGATTTCCTAGGAGGACTAGGAGGACTCACAGGACTCAGCATTTAGTGGTACTCAGGCTGTGATTTAGTACAGTGAAAGGATTTTCCCATCTGGCAAAATCAGCCAAGGGAAAAAGTCAGGGTTGGGGAAGCAGGCCCAAGATGCCAAGAGCCCTCCCCATGGAGTCACAAGCATGTGAAATGCTGTCTACCAGAGAAGCTCAAGAGGGACTTGGCGCCCAGGGTTTTTACTGGGAGCTGGCCACAGAGGCACTCTCTGCCTAACTGAATACCCAAATTCCACACTCCGAGAAGGAAAGCAGGGGTTCAGCATAAACCACATTGTTTGTACAGTTCAGGCACAGTGAGCCACTCTCATCAATTCTGAGAAGAGTGGAACCCCCCTGAAATCTAAGTCCCCAGATACCAGCCCAAGGCCAACCTTGCCAGCAGGCCTTTCTGAGGATATGGTCGCAGGCCTGCCGTGTTAGCTGTTTTCTATACAACAATGAAACACCCCAAACATCACCCCCAGGGAACAGCTCTTATGAAGATAACCCATAACATGAGCAATGTGTCCTTGACACCAGCAGGACATTTCTAGTCCCTACTATCCCCAAGGGCTCATTCCAGCATGGCACTGGAGTGCTCAACGTCATGGCTGCCACCACAGGCAGGAAGGACAGCGTGGCAGGCAGGGGTGGAAGAGTCCAGGTTCAAATCCTTTCTCTGCCACGTCCCAGTCTTGGCCTCAGTGTCTTCTTCTTTAAAATGGGCACAGGAATCTATTCCCTTCCCAGCCCACTCCTCAAAGGCTGTTGTGAGGAACAATTGCAAGACCCCTTACAAACTGTAAAAGACCTCTGCAGAGGGACTTGAGGACTCAGGCAGGGTGTGCTGTCCTTAGGCATCTCCTCTAAAGCTCCCTGCATGCATGAGAGCCTCCTCTGGCCTTGGGTGAGAGGCACCAGGGACCATGACTACAGCCCTCACTCTGGGGAGCCAAGCACATACTCTTACTGTTGCCAGAGCCGCCACACTGCCAGAGGAACCAGGGCTTTCCTTTCTGCCTGCCTTTCACAAGAATGATGTGGCTTGCAGGAGGGAGGATGGCTTCTAGCTAGCCCAGTCTGTGAATGTGGAAGCTTCATCCCCCTATAGCTCTTCCTTGCTGATACTTGTTTCCTTCTGCTTGTGCCAGCAATAGCCCTAGAATTGCACAAATCCAACCATCCAAGGGCTAACCAGCAGGTAAGACAGTCACCCAGATGCACATGGTCACAGGAGGCAGTACTGTGGGGTGAGCAAAAACAGTACCAGAGGGAGACTCAAATGCCCAGGGGTCTCGCTGCCAACCACTTGAGCTTGGGCAAGTTGCTAATCATTTCCTTTTTATCTGCAAATGAAGATGATGACCGCAGCCTCGCATCCTTGGGGTGAAGGGAGAAAATGGATGTGACTGTGTTATTAACTGTGTGGATCTGTACAAATGAAAGGGATCAATATTATTATTATAGTGTGTGGTGATTTGTCCCCCTACCTCGTCAATTATATCGATCATTGATGGCTGGAATGAAAAAATCTTCCCAAATCCCTCTGAGATTTCTTTAAAGTTAATGGTGCTAGGGAAAGAAAGGATATCAAGTCATTCCCCAGGACCCCATCTGCTTGTATTAAAAAGCACATAACCAAAGATTTTAATAATCAACACACTGAACAGCCCTGATAATTTATGCTAATAGTCACGTTATGATGTGGAACAAGAAACAGCTTAATCCTGCTCCCTGCAGCCTCTGCCTCAGATCTCCTCCCTCAGCATGAAAGGGTTTTGAGCACAAACCCCCTTCTTTGTCCCTCTCACGAAGTGGCATGCGCTGCCTCTCCTGGTTACCTGGTAACACACACTAGCACAGACCTAGGTTTCTAAGTGGAGCTGGAATTTCAACCAAGGTGAATTTTCTAAGATTCAGGGTCTCAGGAGCTCACCGAAGCTGCCAGGGCTCAATGCCCTGGCGGGTGCTGGCCGGGACCCTGTTCCTATCTAATTTATCATTTGAAACATGACATTAACTTGCTGTCCGTAGGACCCCAACCCTCTCCCAATGCTAACAAATAGGGTGCACACACTGAACTATCCAGCCTTTAAAGTAATGAGAGCAATAATAATCATCATAATACTAAGGCCATACCACCTTACCAGTGAGAAGCTGAACCAATAATTCAGAATGTATCGAAGACCCACGTATGAATAATTCTTACTGTTGGAAATTGCTTTTGCATCCTTCTTCTTCCTTCTCCTCCTCCCCCTCCTCCTCCTCCTCCTCCTCCTCCTCCTTCTTCTTCTTCTTTTTAGACAGGGTCTCACTCTGTCTCCTAGGCGGAGTACAGTGGCATGATCATAGCTCACTGTAGCCTCGAACTCCTGGGCTCAAGAAATCCTCCTGCCTCAGCCTCCCAAGTAGCTGGGACTACAGGCACATGCCATCATGTCCAGCTAGTTTTTAGAATTTTTTGTAGAGATGGGATCTTGCTGCGTTGCCCAGGCTATCCTTGAACTCCTGGCCTCAAGCAATCCTTCCACCTCAGCCTCCCAAAGTGCAGAATGAAGCTTCCCCCTTCGGCCTTGCACCCAAGGCTTGCAGTGGCCTACCCCAAACTACTCTGGGGTGTCATCTCCTTTCCCAACCATCCTACCAGGCCTCGGCCCTATGGGCCCACTTGCACACCCACCAAAGGGCTCCCACCTCTGAGCCTCAGTTCATGCTGTGCCTCCCCCTTGCTAGCATTGGGATTCTCTCCCCATCCTTCAAGGCTTCTCTCAGGAGCTATAGCCCAGTGCTAAATAGAGGGACAAGTGACAAACCTTGGGAAAAACAGGAAGGTGGACCCAGATTGAGAAACCCCCAAGATTCAAGGCTGGCGGGTGCACAGCACCTTACTGATCAGGTTGCTAGCGGCTAGCTGTGCAGCGCCCATCTGAAAATAGCGAGGCAGGCCAGGCATGGTGGCGCACGCCTGTAATCCCAGCACTTTGGGAGGCCGAGGCGGGCAGATCATGAGGTAGGAGATCAAGACCATCCTGACTAACACAGTGAAACCCCGTCTCTACTAAAAGTACAAAAAACAAAATTAGCCAGGCGTGGTGGTGGGCGCCTGTAGTCCCAGCTACTCTGGAGGCTGAGGCAGGAGAATGGCGTGAACCCAGGAGGTGGAGCTTGCAGTGAGCCAAGATCACACCACTGCACTCCAGCCTGGGTGACAGAGTGAGACTCTGTCTCAAAACAAAACAAAACAAAACAGCCAGGCAAACCTACACTGGAGCCCTTTCACAGCTGGGACCAGCCAGGTGGCTCCAGGGAATTTCCTTCCATGTGCCTCAGCTTTCCCTTCTATCAAATGGGAAGGAGACCTCCCCAGGACACTTGTAAAAATCATGTAAAAAGATGGGTGCAGCCCAGGGATGGTATCTCATGTCTGTAATTTCAGCACTTTGGGAGGCTGAGGTGGGAGGAGTGCTTGAGGCCAGGAGTTCAAGAACAGCCTGGGAAACACAGTAAGATCCTGTCTCTACAAAAAATTCTAAAAATCAGCTGGGCATGATGGTATGTGCCTATAGTCCCAGCTACTTGGGAGGCTGAGGCAGGAGGATTCCTTGAGCCCAGGATCACAGTGGGCTGTGATCAAGCCATTGTATTCCACCTGGGAGATACAGTGAGACCCTGTCTCAAAAAAAAAAAAAAAAAAAAAGGATGCAAAAGCAATTTCCAACAGTAAGAATTATTCATATGTGAGTCTTCCATACATGTGTGCGGATCAAAGGATCACTCTCATTATGTGGCAGTTTGGGGCATTTCAGGGCATAGGAGGAAAGGGCAGAATTTAAGCCTGAAAACTGCTTCCCCAGGCTCCTCAGAGGCATGTATAAGGGCCCTTCACACACTGTGAACAACATAATAAATACTTCCCGAGGCCTCATTCCATGAAATCTAGGTGCTTGGGTACCCAAGGAGTCAGGAGGGGTGATTTTATCATGAATATTGAAGCAGAACAGCCCTGCTCTGACTCACAGTCTGTTTTCCTTCAACCGGGATCCCCAGAGGCATTGTTAAAAAACGCTCCCGCTGTGTCTTGTGAATAAAAGATGGCTTTAGGGCAGCACAGAATGAGCTGCTGCCTGGGCTAGGAAACATCCCCTGTCCAAACCTTCATGCTTTATCTGGACACAAGGGCAGAGGCCACACTAGCACTTCAGGACAGAGAGTGACAGGCAAACAGTGCCCGGTTCTGTGGTGGATGACACAAAGGCTGGTGCGGAAGAAGGGCTGAACCCCGGGGAGGCCTGACGCCTGTCAGTAATGAGATCATGAAAACCAGTTCTGAGTTGCTTCCATGTGGCCCCACGAATATCTTTATTCCCTGGGTCTGTGCCTGGGGTGGGCCTCAGATCCCATAGATCAGAGTGAAGGGGCTGTCACATTTACTTGTCATTTGGTAATTTTCAGTGAATTAGGGGTATGGAGTTTCCATCTGCCATCTGGCCTCACTCTGGTAACCATGGTAACCACCATCTGCCTGACTTAATACTATTAAGTCCTGTGCCAAAAGAGCACTGGACAGGGTGTTGGGACCAGGGAGCTGGTCATCCTTTACTGGTCACCCTGGACAAGGGCTCTGACCTTGCTGTGTCTCAGTCTCTTTCTCTGTATAACAGCAGATTTGGTCTGAATGTCTTTAAGGTGCCTTTCTCTTAGGAAGAGAATGCCACTCTGGGGAGAAATTATCTGAGATCATCAGCAGCATTTATAGTCTGAGGACCTGGTCAGCATTTCTTCTGTCTCCTGCATGTGGAGTTAAAAGTGTTACCTGTCTGGAGACAAAGAGAATTGCCTGTGAATTAACGGCTGAGGAAAGCAGTTATAAAAACGAGTGATAGGAACTAGCAAAAGGAAAGAGACAGGACTGTTTAAGTGCCACAGGGCGGAAACCAACTGTTCCGAGTGAAAGGGACCTCAACAATGACTCCACTGGGGCTGATATGGCCAGAGAGGGGAAGGGACCCGTCCAGGGCCACTCAGGGAGCCAGCGGCAGCACAGATGCACCCCCAGCCAGCTCTGTCCTCCATGGGGAGCTTCAGCTAGGAACAGCCAATGGTGACTTTCCTGTGCTCAACTGGCCACACACTGGTTTTACATTTCCCAGGACTGGAGGCTTCCTGCCCCATCTCCAACAACCCATTGCGTCTCCTGGACTTGGGTACATCTACCTGAACTACTTGAGAGGAAAGACTACTAGATACTTCTTAAGGCTTGGAAAGGTCTCACCCCACCCCAGGCTTCTTTCTTGAAGCTAAGTCATTACACTGACTTAGGCACTAAAGTCTGGACTTGGTCTCTGGGCTCAGGCCAGAATTATTTCCCAGAAGCCTGAACTCCAGGCCGAAACCCAGGCTCCTTGGGACTCACTGGCCACCTTCTCACTCACCCTAAACTCAGCACTGCCCACTCCAGGCAAAGTACACAGCGGCACTTCAAAACCTAGTGGGTGGAATACACTCATGCTTAGGAAGCCGGTAAAGCAGTGCTAACGTTTTGGTT
The DNA here is from genome assembly GCF_000001405.40 of Homo sapiens. Classification (NCBI taxonomy): domain Eukaryota; kingdom Metazoa; phylum Chordata; class Mammalia; order Primates; family Hominidae; genus Homo; species Homo sapiens. Next base: position 38,423,154 of record NC_000009.12, read on the forward strand.
TCTTTTTGTTTGGTTTTCAAAAGGTACATAAAGAGGGTGGGCAACTATAGCACTCAGAGATTATTTTACTGTGATGTTAATGAAGCTTAAGTTTCTAAGTCCCTAGCATTTCATAATAAGTTTCTAAGTCCCTAGCAGTTCTATTCCTTTACTTAAGGCAGGACTCTCCAAATTATATATGTTTTAGAAGCACGAAACCTGAGTCTGCCCCTAATAGCACCACAATCTTTTCAGACCTTACGTCTCCAAAGGTCTTACTTCTCCTGGATGGAGCTCCCTCAGCATCCCAGCTCAGCCCCTTCCCACACCGGGGGCCCTGGTGCTCTGGTGCTGTGGCCTGGTGACTACTGATTCCCCAGTCTGGAACTCATCCTCCTCCTGCATCCTCAACTTCCCTTCCTCCCCTATCCTCTACTTCCCTTCCTCCCCCAACCTCAACTTCCCTTCCTCCCCATTCAAACAATCCACCTAGCGCTGGATACCTGGGAACTCGGATCCCCCTCCTTAACTCCCAGTCTCCTGCTGGGCAAACATACCATGCCTACAAATAAGTGACTGCATCAGCAGGTACTTAAGTACCAAAAGGGGTAGCAGGCTCACCAAAAATTCGACTAGCACAGTGAGTGGCGTCTCCAAGGATTCTCGCCCCAGTCTCTCTGAGCACGAGGAGAGATATGAAATACTGCTCCCTAAGGGGAAACTGAGTGCCAGGCAGCGCCGTCCACCACTGGGCAGGGGGATCCTTCGCTCCACACCCCAGAGGGTTGGAATCCCTCCTTCTCTACCCACCCAATCCCCGACCCTGACTCACCGAACTCGCAAGGGCCGTCGCGCGCCTTGTGCAGGTGACCGGGGTGCGCGCGGGGCGTGTGCCGAGCGCGCAGGCGCAGCGCGCAGACGCTGGGGTACGAGCGACCGTCGGAGCCGCAGACGGTGCCGCGCTGCGCGCACACGCAGAGCCCGGTGCCCTCGGGCGCTGCCCCAGCGGCCTGGCTCGCGCATACCAGGCCGGGGCCACAGCGCCCGCCGGCGCGGCCCCCGCAGCTCGCGCCCTCGGCTCCCAGGCAGCGGGCGCAGCAGCCGCACTCGTCGAGCGCCGAGATCCCGGGCGCCGGGCAGGGCGCAGGCGCCGGGCAGCCCTCTGGCCGGCACGGACCACACTTGGGGCGCCGGCCGCCCACGTCGCGGATCCCAAGGCTCGGGGACAGCGGCGGCAGCAGCGGCAGCAGCAGCAGAAGCAGCAGCGGCAAGAGCAGAGACAAGCGCGGCATGGCTTGCTCCGGGACAGCGGCGGCGCCTCTGCTTCGCGCTCCGCTCCGCGCCCGCCGAGCAGTCACCGCTCCCGCCCCGCGGCCGCTGATTGGCCGGGCCTGCACCGCGGGGCGCCCGCAGACCGCTGCTCCAGCCCGGGACCCGCGCGGTGCCCGCGGCCCGGGTCTCCGAGCTGGAGGGTCGCCCCGAGAGCAGCTCTCCGACCTCCGATTGGACTCTTGAGGGAACCGAGACCCAGTCGGGGCGACAACTTGCCCGAGGTCGCTATGGCAGAGTCAGGATTGGATAACCGTACGGTCTCCGGATCCAAGGCTGGCTCCAGATAGTATGCCCGTAAATCCTCCCAGAAGGATGCGCTATTTTATTTAATTTTATTTTGCATTCAGTAGTTTTCAAAGTTTTATTTTATAAAGAGAATATATGGTTTAAAATGTAGATTTTACATATACATCTAAGGATGAAAAGAGGGTTACCCTACCACCTTGTATCCCCATCCTCCAACTCGGCTTCCAGAGGCCACTCTTGCTATCGGGTTTTTGTATATCTTTTCAGAAATTTTCTCTATGCCTATAAAAGTACATGTGCCTAAAAAAGCCCCTTCCTTTAAAACACACACACTCTGTTTCTCTCTCACACACACAGAGTAGCGTGCCATACACATTAGTCTGCACTTGGTTTTTGCACTTACAGTGTTTCACAGTTTCCCCACCTCTTGTCATCTGTGAAACTGGGTTTCTTATACAATCAATGGGAGCATAGTTCATTGGCTCTGTGAGTGTGTTTCTTAATGCTGCATAAAGTCATGGTACATCTCCGTCCACAGTGACTTTGTTGTGATGAGATATGGTGATATATTTTGGAGTTCATACAGAGTGGCCTTTCCACAGGGTTTAGTTGCAGTTATTTAACCACTTATTTTCCATCCTTTGGTTAATACGAATAATGCTTTGATGAAGTCTTGGTGCACAAGGGTCAGTGTACCTGTGGCTTACTGGGGAATGCATGTTGGAAAGATGCAGTTTCTTGTAGTCAGTTATTCATGCCGCCGTTGCGCCTTCTCTGGGCCAGGCTCTGTGCACACCATCCTGCCTGAGTTCTGGCAGGGCACCCAGACGAGAAACCTAAGAGAGTCTTGGCTGCTGGGATTTGATGTGTTGCTGGGTAAATGCACTGGATGGAGGGAGGGACTCGCTGAGCAGGTTTTATAGGAGACTTTTCCTGCCTTTACTGGCCACCCCTCATGTGTCTTGTGCTCTATTGTTTTTTCTTTGCTGAACTCCTGGAGATGGAGAAAGCCTCTTGCAGCCTGGGAAGACCAGCTACACCGTTCTTGGGTGGGGTTCATTTTGCTTTTCAAGCCCAGTTCCTTCCCAGTTTGCAGTCTTCTTATCCCCAGAAAGGAGCCTCTTCTGAGGCCACTTTATGTGGTGGTCAGAGGAGGGCCATCTGCCTGGTCCACGCCAGGCCTTACCTTACAATCAGCCACACAGAGCAGGGGCGGTTAGGCACCATGAAGGGGTGGTGGTAAGGAATAAATATAACAATGTTGGTAATGCACTCAGCGCAGCTCTCAGAACCTATCAACAGTGACTTTCAACCTGGAGGCTGCTGTCTTTACCAGGAGTGGCCTTTTAAAGTGCTCTCACCGCTTGACCCCTCTGTGCTCTTCCAGGAATCTCTCCTAAAAAAATGATCACTATGTGTGAAGATTTCATCCTGGAGTTGGTTACTATAGCAAAAAATAAATAAATAAATAAAATAAAAATAAAAAAAGTTAACGACCTAAATGCCCACCGAGAGGCAATCGTTAAATAAATTATGGTACATCTAACAATAGAGGATTATGCAGGCATTAACAATTAGAAAGAAAATATGGGTTAATAGAAATGAAAACATGTTTATAATACATTGTTTAGTAAAATAGCGGTTAAAAAGTGCACATCTAATGTAATGGCATATTTGTAAATATGTGAATGTGTAAACATGCAAAAATTTAAGATTGTTTTTAATGATGTGAAGGAAACCCTTTTTTTAAAAAAAAAAAAAAAAAGAGATGGTACCTCATTCTGCTGCCCAGGTTGGAGTGCAATGTCATGATCATAGCTCACTGCAGCCTCAAACTCCTGAGCCTCAAGCCGTCCTCCCCCACTCAGCCTCCTGAGTATCTAGGACTATAGGTGAGCACCACCACGCCTGGCTAATTTAAACAATTTTTTTTTTTCAGAGATGGGGTCTCACTATGAGAAGGAAACACTTATAATGTTAAATGAACAAAGCAGGATTTGCAAACAAAAGAGATAAGCGAACTCCATGCTGCTTTTCAGGGACAACTTTGCTGGTAAGTTCAGACTTTCTAATGGTTCATAGTTGTCCAAAGAGAGATCAGGCTGCTCCAGAGATAGTGAGGTCCTTGTCAAAGAAGGAGTTTAAGAATGAGTCTTGGCAAGGAGCATGGAGGGGGTCAGAAGTAGGGGTCAGGGGAGTTGACGTTTGATTACCTCAAACTGAGCCACCATTCCTGTAGTACAGTGCCCGACCCTGAGACCTGGACTGGACAAAACATGGTCATGATTGAGAAATAAATGTGTACAGAAATGATTTGCCTGCTTTTTATGCAGACATTAAAGGAGGAGTAAGTGAACGGTGTCATAATGAAATTAATGTGTGCTTAATGCAGGTTAGGATACACAATCTCACAGAGGCGCATTTACATATGATCTACATTCCTTTTAAATGGTAGGGAGAGTACTATGTATGCATAACGACTCTTTGAGAATTAAATCAGAAGACTCATTTTCCAACACTGAGCCTGTGGCATCAAAGCCCCTGTATCTGGGTGGAGAAAACATTCCCAAGCTTTGAAGGTGATCAGTCATGTCTATTTCCTTTTAAAATTGCCTGCAAGCCCATAGCCCAGCAGAGGCATTTGTGCTCTTTCATCTCTCTGGTTCCCAGAGTACCAGTTAACACTGTGGGCCACACCTGTGGGCCCCCTAAGATGATAGGAGAAAGTAGGGACAAATTCTCCCAGTCGGGAAGGGGGGTTGAGGTGCCTCTGTTGTCTGGCAGGTGGAGAGATCCCATGCACCTGGGTAAGTAATTAGGCAACAAGAATGGGTGTGATTTTCTTCCTCTTCAGCCTCCAGCCTGAAAACAAACACAACACAGGGAAGACTAGCCAATCCCCCATTCAGAGCAGATGTGTGCCCACCCGGCAGCTGCTGAAGTGGGTATGAATGTCCCATCCATTAATTCCTCCCTTGAACGTAGAGATAAATGGCAGATATTCTCTGTCCTTGGGGAGCTTCCAGCACAGAGGAAGAGAATAGAAGCTCAGTTGAGCAAAGGCCACTCCATAAATAGGCCATGGATTTGAACCTCAAGCTTTAATAGTCAGGGCAATCATAGATAGTCTTCTCCAAGCTAAAGGAAGGTGAAAGCCCTTTCTCCAGACCTCTGGTGGGCGATTACAGAGCAGAAGGCAAGGTGAATTTCTAGAGGGAAGTTCCATAAATGACAGATGGGATTTTTAGGGAGACAGATTTCACTTCAATATTGCATGCAAGGGGATGTAGCAAGATGTAGAACTCTGCAAAGATGGGAATTCAGATACTGAGCAGACGAAAAAGAATGGTAGAGGATTTGCTGTTCTGCTGTAAACCACTATATAACTTGGACAAATTAAAGAAAACAGCTATGGACAGGCACTGGACAGTGTTCTAATACAGGGCTGTGATCCTTGAGAGCGTCAGGGGGTACACAATGTGAGCCCCACATCTACCCAAGCATTCTCCCTGGGGACACTTTCCAGGCCACTCTGCAGGGAGGTGGAGGCCAAGTGGTCTCACTGGACAGAAGAGGTAGACATCAGAATTCAGGAGTAAGGCAGAGATTTGGGGATCTAGGACAGAAAATGAGGAACCACAGAGAGGGAATCCCACAAGTCTTAGACCTTTGGCTGACCCTGTACTGCACAAGTACAGGGCAAGACTTGAGGGAGGCTGCTGGGAGGTGAGAGCTGAGCAGAGATTTGGGGCTCACACAGTGCTGATAAGATTTTAGAGTTCAGGCCCACCCAGAATGAACTGCCCCAGCCCCCCTGGGGTTCTTTCTCCAAGCTCAGTGACACTAGCATCAGCCTAGTGGCACACCCTGCAGAGGTCTCAGTTTGAGCTCCAAGGACCCCTCTTATACGCATCTAAGTTTTAGTCATTCCAGCCATTTCCATTGTTCTCCTAGCCCTCATGGTGGTAGCTGCTTCACAGTTGCTACCTCCAAGTTGCCTAGTTAATAATTCCTCTTCTTCTTCTTTTTTTTGAGACAGGGTCTGGCTCTGTCGCCCAGGCTGGAATGCAGTAGCACGATATTGGTTTACTGCAACTTCTGCCTCTTGTGCTCAAACCATCCTCCTGCCTCAGCCTCCTGAGTAGCTGGGACTACAGGCATTTGCCACTATGCCTGGCTAAATTTTTGTATTTTTTTTGTAGAGACAGGGTTTTGCCATGTTGTCGATCCCAGTCTTGAACTCCTGAACTCAAGTGATCCGCCCACCTCAGCCTCCCAAAGTGCTCAGATTACAGGCATGAGCCACTGTGCCCAGCCAATAATTCTTTTTTTTTTTTTAATTATTATTTTTTGAGACGGAGTCTCACTCTGTCACCCAGGATGGAGTGCAGTGGCATTATCTTGGCTCACTGCGACCTCCACCTCCTGAGTTCAAGCGATTCTCCTGCCTCAGCCTCTCGAGTAGCTGGGACTACAGGTGCATGCTGTCACGCCCAGCTAATTTTTGTATTTTTAGTAGAGACAGGGTTTCGCCATGTTGGTCAGGCTGGTCTCGAACTCCTGACCTCAGGTGATCCACGTGCCTCGGCCTCCCAAAGTGCTGGGATTAGAGGCGTGAGCCACCATGCCTGGCCCAATAATTCTTTATATTACATTCCATTTGTAGGCTTGGCACAGTGGCTCATGCCTGTAATCCCTGTACCTCCCAAGGTTTGTGGGGAGGATTGTGTCAGGACTTCAACAGCCTGGGCAACATAGTGAGACCTCTTTTCTACTAGCAAAAACATGTAAAGTTTGCTGGGCATGGTGGTACATGCCTCCAGCTACCCAGGAGGCTGAGGTAGGGGGATCACTTGAGCCTTGAAGTTCAAGACTGCAGTGAGCTGTGATCAAGCCACTGCACTCCAGCCTGGGGAACAGAGCTGTTGCATGCCTGAAAAAGAAAAAAAGAGAAATGAATTCTATTTGTCATCTGACTAGGTAGGCCTGAGTGATCTAGCTAATAGAACCAGGAGTGGTCCCAGGAAACAACTGTCAAAGATGGGTCACAATCAGAGAACTAGAAAGCTTAACTATAAATATGCTTCAATAATCATACAAATTATTTATTTAAATGATAAATAAGAATACATTTCTTGCAGCTACAGGGTCAGTATTGCTGAAAATGACACAAAAAATGTAATTGTGTGTGTTGCATAATTATAAGTTGAATTCACAGGCTTTCCAGTCTCTTATGTGAAAGTTAGGGAATGAGAACCTGAGACTTGGAATGGAGAAATCTGGGTGGACTCAGATGAAGCTGAGAATCCTGAACCCTTGAGTCATTCTGAGCTTCCTTTGCCAATGGAAGCAGCTTGCCTGTCATGTCTGAGAAGACTCTCTTTCCCTTGCTTAAGGACCCTGTGTTAAGATCACCCAAGGCAGTTGCCTTGCAAGAGATACCTTTTCTCCTCAAAACCTAGGGCTTGTGGCCACTAGACTTTCAACTGACATCAGAACTCTATGTACTTGAGTAGGGCACATACAAGGTTTACCCTGGGAAGATTTAGCTTCTACACCAAAAAAATGGCAAGATTTTGATACATTACATTGTAGAAACCTGGAGAATATGTGCATGAATAGATTCTTAGGGTGTTAGACCAAGGAAGGCAGAATAGAACTTAGCATCAAGTCAAATTTATTGATACAGGTACACTGATCAGAGATTCTGGATTCAATGTGTTGATTTGTGCAGGGGGAAGGGGCTCTATAGTTTACTTAGCTGTTTGAGTGGAACTGGGACTCAATGGTGACCTATATTTAAAGACATTGAGGTGCCAGAACATCCTTGGTGTGTTGTAGGGGATGGGATAAGAAGGCTTAGGGAGATGTTGGAATAGATTTGTTATAGACAACTCGCACACTCACCCACCCAACCAACCACTACATTCTCCAAGGGGGCCCAGAGGACATTCCCTTCACTATGACATTGGGAAATTCATTAGCGAGGGGACCACTACTATCCTTGAAGACTTGGTGGTGGCTCTCCTCTATTGGCCACATATGAAGATAAGAGATGACACCACTGTGATGGGCTCCTTAATCCACTGGGAATCATGGGATCCCAGAATAGCAGAGGCCAAGTGGTAGCATCCAACTGCCAAGGGCAGAGCAGGGCACATACACTGTAATGGGCAGTAAAATGGAGTAAAATGGTGGACATCACTGTGTCTTGACTCACAGGAATCTTGTCATTGGCTAGTTGTCACAGTGTCCCTAGGACTGAAAGAGATGGGCATCTTACTAAAATGCTGTGTGCTTTATGTAACAGGGAAAACTCCATATCTGGTGTCTAGAAGCTGATTTCAATCACCACAGTGGACAGCCAGAATTTCTTGTCCATTTTCAGACCTAGTATTAACCCAGAGCCTCTTCTTTGAAAGGACGGCTGGGTCCCCTTAAAGAAGGACTCTTTACAAATGTATCCTATAAACCATCCTGTAAGCCCTCCCCAGAGGGACCTCTGACCGTTTACGAGAGTGAACCACCATAGCCCACAGTCAAAGTCGGGGAATACAGCACTCAGGGCCCAAGTTCAGATCACAGAGCACACATCCTGTGGTTACTTCCCCACTTCCTAAATAGAATAGATGCACTTGGCAACCAGCAAAATCCCAGCATCAGCTCTGTGACACAAAGTGGAAGGCCCTGGAACTTCCTTTCTGACCAGGAGGGTAAAATATCTGCTGCCAGTTTCCTCACAAATAATTGAAAGAGAATTCATCTTGCCAATGGGAGAATTCACTTTCTTAGAAGGCAGCACAGCCTAGTCTCATAGGAGGAAAGCACCTGCCCCCTTTTTCATGTCTTTGGCCTTTTTCCTTTCAAAATAATAATGTACCATTATTGTGCTAAGAGCACTTGATTGCTTTCTGATCCAGATCAACAAAAAATTACACAGCAAGTCCTTCTTTAACACCGTGGATAGGTTCTTGGAAACTGACTTTAAGTGAGACAACGTATAACAAAACCAATTTTACGTAGGCTCATTGATACAGACAAGAGGTTAAGTTCCTATGGCATATTTCTGGTTATAAAAACGTTACCAAACTTCTAAATAAAAACCCCAAATACTTCTAATCATAAACATTAAAATGAATGTGAACTATAGGTACATTTAAGAAAAATTAATAAGAACAAGATAATTATTACTCAGGGTTGCAAGAGCTGAACCCTATCTGAGCAGCTCAGAGCACAAGGCAGGAACTGACCCTGACCATCGCAGGGCACGCTCACACACACCCACAGTCACTCACACTGGGACCATGCAGACACGCCAGTTCCCCTCAGTGGTGCACATCTTCAGGCATCTCCTGGAGAAAACCCACACAGACATGAGGATAACGTGCAAACTCCACACAGACAGTGGTCCTGGCTGGAGGTGGTTTCCTTTTTTCTCATCAATGTTGTAAAAAAATCGCGTTGAATGTGACAACTTTATTCAAGGACCTGCTGTAGCTTCTTCCCCCACTTATTCTCAAATTTCTTCCATACCGGGGAGGGGTACAGGTCTCAGTTCATCTTGCCACATCACATCCCTAATCTGTAGATTCACTGATGCATTGACTCATTTGTTCTTCATCCAGCAAGCTCTCAGAAGGCTCGCTGTACACCTGGCCTGTGCTGGACACTGGGGAGTAGCTGAGGAAGCCATGCTCTGTGTGCTCAAGAAGGTGGCCCAGGTAGGGTGGATAGGGAAGCAATTTCAGCTCAATGAATGTTACTACTGAAGAGTATTCGGGGAAAAGAGAGTCAAGGAAAGCTCCTGGACAGAGCACTTCCTAAATTAAATTTCAGAGAGCCAGTAGGTTTTGGCCTGGAAGGATGATACAGAAGGGGAATCCACATGGAGGGAACAGTGTATGGGAAGGCATGAGGACCAGAGAGAGGACAGCACAGTCAAGAGCAGGAGCAAGCTCAGCACAGCTGTGGTGTTGTGTGGGGTGTGGAGACATAGGAGGGGAAACCTGAGACGTCAGTAAGAGCCAGACCATCAGTCTTTCCTGGCCAGCTGAGAAGCTTGGAAATAGTGCAACCTAGGCTTGGCCACAGTAGAGCAGGCCTGTATTGCTTTCTGACAGACAGAGACTTCACAAGTGGAGGGGAAGGGGACAGCACGTACCCACCAGGGGCCACAGGATGAGCCTTTTGGAAAGTCCTTCTGGTTCTCCTTTCCTGTGTCTCACAGGCTGGAGTGCAGTGGTGCAATCATAGCTCACTGGAGCCTTGAACTTCTGGACTCAAGCAATCCTCCCACCTTGGCCTCCCAAAGTGTTGGGATTACAGGCATGAGCCACTGCACCTGGCCCTTCCTGGGGCTTCTATCCAAATGTAAGGTTTGTGCTGGGACCACGTGTAGGAAATTGCCACCTTGTGGGTAATGCTGGAATTACAGATCTAGAAATGATGATGTTCCTTATTTCTGAATTCAGTATGTATTTGCTAATAATTACAAGCCACAGTGCTGGAATAAGGAGTCTATCAGGTGGAGAGAACAGAAATGCATACAGAAGTCAGTGAATGTTCAGAGGTATGCCTGAAGCAATAGGTTGGTGAGGGAGGTCATGGAAAGCTACAGAGATGACACCTGCACTGAGTCAGGTAAAAAGGGGTCTTTGGGGGCCATATTCACTTTCCATCCTGCAGCGCAGAATAGGAGAGGACTCACTCAAGGTCACACAGCTCTTCAGGGCAGAGCTGGGGCAAGCACCCAAGTTTCTCGGTATGTCAGCCCAGAGCTCTTTCTTATACATGGTTGGCCTTCAGTTTAAATGGGTCCCACTCCTGGTGCTCTAGAAATGGCCTTTGCAGAATCTGATCTTCCGCTCCTGCCTGTTCACAGGCCCCATCATGGTAACTGGTCACAGCCAGCTTTCTGATGCAGTAATCTCTTCCTTTGTGATCTGAATTCTGTCTGTGTGAAATTGCAAAACACAAACTCTCCCTAGGGTGAATACTGTGCTGAAGCCAGGATCTTGTCCTCCCTGGGAAGAAGAAACAAGGTGTGTCCCAAGAGCATTTATCCTCAGGGACTAGCATAGTCCTTGGTACATAAGTACTTTGAAATTTTTGTGATGTGAATGAATGAGTGAAGACAGGGGAGGTGGATAGGCCTGAGAGGTTAGTCCCAGCTCTCCTGTGGGCTTATCCAGAGTTGAGTTTTCTCTAGAATAGTCTGGAAAGATTAGTTGGGGATAGATTACAAAGGTCGCTGAATGCCCAGCTAAAAAGATTGTCTTTCTTCTACTAGCAGAGGGGAAGCAAACCTGTTAGAGAACAGGGAAGGAGCAGGATCAGAATATAGGTTGGTTTCATTCCTTGTCAAAGAGAGAAAAATAGTCCCAAGTCAAAACTCTATCTGTCCCAGAAAGCCATTGATATTACTTTGTGAACCCAAAAATATCGGAGACAGGTTTCAATCAGTTTAGAAAGTTTGTTTTGCCAGGGTTAAGGACACACTCGTGATACAGCCTGAGGAGGTGCTGACGACATGTGCCCAAGGTGGTCGGGGCACAGCTTGGTTTTATACATTTTAGGAAGAGATGAGACATCAATCAACATGTGTAAGAAGTACATTGGTTCTGTCTGGTGTGGTGGGACAAGCCAAAGTGGGGGCTTCTCGGTCATAGGTAGATAAGAGACAAATGGTTGCATTCTTTTGAGTGTCTGATTAGCCTTTCCCCGAATACACAGTTTACATGTGAGAGGAGGGTAGAGGAATAGTCACTTATCCCTTAGTCTGGCTCAGTGAATCTGCACTTTTACATAAACAATAGGGTAGAGGAAGCAATCAGATATGCATTTGTCTGGGGTGAACAAAGGGATAACTTTGAGTTCTGTCTGTCCTTTGTACTGCACGTGTGAAGATAAGCCATCAATTTACATAGCCAAGGTGAAATTCAACAGAACTGTTTTAGGGTAAAGACCCTGAGGCCCACAGAGAATTTCCTTGTGGGTAAATTATGAGAAAGGTATGTAGCTTTTTTTTTAAATTGAAGCTTTGTGGCTATCTTATTTAGAAATAAAATGGGAAGTAGATTTGCCTGACTTAGTTCCCAGCTTGACTTTTCCCTTTAGCTTAGTGAGGGTCTGAGACAGATTTTCCTTTCACAACTTAATGAAGAAATTGCACTAGGTCTTCTAGATATCTGAGTTTTTTTGTTTCTAAAGTTAGTAATTAAACCATATCTCTAGAGAATAACTAGAAGCTGGCCTGTGATAAGCTTACAACACTCAGGAAACAAGCACAACCTTTGTGATACACTGTTGAATTTCCTTCTGTGACATCACCCAGGCTGTGAACCCTGCTACATACAGGGCCCCAGTACAGTAACTCTTCCTAACCTGGGTCTGGTGCAGTCAGTAATCTCTTTCCTCACTCTCTGCCAACTGCAGCACCATTGCATTAACTCCTGGAAAAAAGTCGGTAGTGGAGTGCTATAGGGCTCTGTTCTCGTCAATGTTTTTATCGGTAACCTAGATGAACTCAGAGTATTCAAATGCCCCCAAAGAAATTAATATACGTTGGATAGGAAAAGCAATATTCAAAAAGGCTTGCATAGCTTAGCATGGTGAAGAGAAATCAAATGTTGAAATGTTCTGGAGATACATGTCAAGTTCTATGTTTGAGTTCAGCACAAAAATGAGAAAGCCCAAGAGAAGGGAAATGAAATCTATCATGCTGGTTTCAAAAGGGTCCAAGCCTGGAGCATGACAGCCCCTCAGAAGTAAATCTTTACTACTATGAACCAAATTTTCCGGAATTTAAGCATTTTAAAACCAATGTCCAGAATTTAAGCATTTTAAAGCCAATGTCTTAGCTTTTTATTTTCCCCCACTTTAAGATGGCTGCCTTCCCAGTGTCCCCAGAGTGGTTGGTGACAACTCAATAATGACTCTTCCTTAATGGTATGAAGAGAGGAATTGTAAGATTATGAGGAAACTTGCCACAATCATCCAAGAATTTAAAATATCCATTTGAAGTCTGGGAAGTGGAGCCAGGAAGCACGTTTTGGATGGGCACTCCTGGAAGAGAGCATCTCTGTGTGCCTAGAAGGAGAAGAGCTTTGCAATTCTTTTTTATGAACCATGTGACGAAGATGTACCAAGAACTGCTTCTATCAGTGAAGGAGACAGCCTGGTTTCAGAGGAAATGCATTTACAGTGATTCTTTGCTTTTAGACATTCAGCAAAAGAGGTATGTTGTACTCAATCTTTGTATTTCTCATTCTCTTTTTTCTTTCATCATTTTCATTTTGAGAATAAGTATGTATGGGGCCTCCCCTGTATCCCAGATATCATGCTGAATCAGATCTAGCTGTGGCTTCCAAGCCACTCTGGCCTAGAAGGGGGCTGTGACTTTGTGACTGTGTGCTCAGTACCTGGCACATAGTCGGCTCCCAATGATAGCCAATGTTCACTGAGTGCTTACTGTCTGTCAGGTACCCTGCTAAGTATTTTATATCTACTAGCTCATTTCAGCCCCACTGTCCATAAGGTGGTCATAGCTTATCTTAGATAAAACTGAGGCTCAGGGAGGTTAACAATGAAACTTGCTTGAAGTTACACAGCTGGTAAATGATGGAGTTGGCCCTCAAGTCCACACTTGGAACCACTGCACCTGACTATTTCTCCGTAAGTATGTGTTAAATGAACAAATAAACTTATGACATAAAAGGATGTAGGCCAAGTCCAGACAGAATATTGCATCACGGCAGATCAGAAGATACTTCATGCAGATTCTGCTTGAGGCAGGATTTAATGAACAAGAGTGATGCCGATCAGTAGAGGTGGGAGGAGCCACTCCAGGCAGGAGTGAAGAGGTCAGGGTTGGCAAACACAAATGGCCTGGGTTTGTCAGTTATGGTGTCTATTTACTGCCTCCATGACTGTCTCCTACTCCGCCATGGCTGATTCAATCAGGGGTGTTATGGACTGAACTGTATCTCCCTCCCGAATTCCTGTGTTGAAGCCCTAACTCTCAGTACCTTAGAATGTAACTGTATTTGGAGATAGGACATTTAAAGAGGTAATTACATCAAAATGAAGCTTTATCCTTAAAATAAAGGATGGACCATGTGGTGCTTGCAAGTCCTCTACATTCTGTGCTGTGTCTGCTATGGTAACACCAGCTGCTAAAACAAATAAGCCCCACTCTTCACCCGCTTATTACAATAGAACTTTGCTTCTTGCTCATGCACTAGTCTGTGAGAGGACAGCCTGTGTAGAGGACAGTTTTGTCTGCAGGGTGATTCATGGACCCAGATGCCTTCCATCCTGTGATTCTATATCCTTCAGAGCCTTAGAGTCCAACCAACAGATGGGGAAGGAGAAGGTGGGAAAGACACGCTTGTTCCTTGGCCATCTTGGCCTAGAAGTGACACACATCACTTTGGCTCACACTCCATGGGTGAGACCTAGTCCATGTCTGTCCCTAGATGCTGGGGTGGCTGGGAAGTATGGCCTGGGATGAAAAGATCCTTACTTTATAGAAAGGGAGCAGGAACACCTGGTGGACAGCTAGCGTGTCCTGCCATGTGGTTGGAATTCAGTTCTGAACTTGTCTCCGGCCTGTTCTCCTCGCGAATGGGCTGCTTTGTTTCCAAGAGAATCTGGAAGCCCGTGGTCCTAGTGTGTTGCCTTAAGGCAGAGTCCTAGTTTATTTCCGGTAATAATTTTTACAGCTAACCAAAGGGGCCATGGCTGCTGGGCGAAGCTCTGACAGCTCAGGGGGATGGTGCCCACAGCAGGAGCTTGAAAGGGTCCACAAGAGCCCAGGAGAGAGGAAATAGGAGTGTAAGTCCTACATTTGCAGCATGAGAAGGGGAGGAAGAGCTGAATAGTCAGCAGTGTTCTGGAATGAGGAAGTGGGCTGCCTGCTTGCTTTCATTTCTTAGGTAAATATTTGCTGGAAGTTTGCCTTTTCTCTGAGTTTTTCAGTGCTGTGACGAGAACTGGGCAGAACATCAGCTCATCAGAAGCAGTGACATCCAAGAGCCCAGAGGAGCCTGAAGAACAATTGAGAGAAGCCTCCTTTGCCAACGCGTTGCCCACCAGGGCTGCACGTGGTACCCTTGCTCCAAGATGCTTCCCAAAAACACCAGGTAAGCTTTAAGAGGCAGATCTGAGACAAGTCATGCTGGATAGCGGCATGTTCCTAGCAACTGTCTTCTTTGATGCTGGTGTTTAATGAAAACCAGGAGAAAGGCATGTTTTAGCTAATTTGTAGACAGGCTGGCATGGAGGAAATGACATAGATAGGTTACTTGGTCAGCGAATAGATTTCCTTTCATCTTCAGTTCAGAGACAGAGTGGAGTGGGCAGAGCCCAGATGTGTTGTTAGGGGGCCTGGGTTCAAATCCTGGAGTTTCCTCATCTCTGAATCAGGGGTGATACCCCCTGCCTTACCTAAACCACAGCTTTGTGAAGATCATATGAGAACAAGAATGTGAAAGGATTCGAGATCTGTAAAGTCTTGCCCCGATGGCAGGAATTAAGAATTCTTATTCTAACCTTCAAATGTTTTAGATCCAAGAACTGAAAGCCTACTCCAAAATATAACAAAAAATCCAACCATCACTTCTGGCGTCACAATATCTGTTTTGAACTGTGGGGGATCAAAGAGGGAAATGAGCCAAGAAAACACCAACAGGGGTGGGACTGTAAACTAGTTCAACCATTGTGGAAGTCAGTGTGGCGATTCCTCAGGGATCTAGAACTAGAAATACCATTTGACCCAGCCATCCCATTACTGGGTATAGACCCAAAGGATTATAAATCATGCTGCTATAAAGACACATGTACACGTATGTTTACAGCGGCACTATTCACAATAGCAAAGACTTGGAACCAACCTAAATGTCCAACAATGATAGACTGGATTAAGAAAATGTGGCACATATACACCACGGAATACTGTGCAGCCATAAAAAATGATGAGTTCATGTCCTTTGTAGGGACATGGATGAAACTGGAAACCATCATTCTCAGCAAACTATCACAAGGACAAAAAACCAAACACCGCATGTTCTCACTCATAGGTGGGAACTGAACAATGAGAACACATGGACACAGGAAGGGGAATATCACACTCTGGGGACTGTTGTGGGGTGCGGGGAGTGGGGAGGAATAGCATTAGGAGATATACCTAATGTAAATGATGAGTTAATGGGTGCAGCACACCAACGTGGCACATGTATACATATGTAACAAACCTGCATGTTGTGCACATGTACCCTAAAACTTAAAGTATAATAATAATAATAAAATTTAAAAAAAAAAGAAAACACCAACAGGGATAATAAGAGTCACTTGGGAAAGGAGATTCCCAGAATCCCACCCACGGGAAGAAGGAGGGAGCCTGAGTGCAGTGGATGGAAAAGACCTGAGGCTGGAAACAGACCAGAGGGACGGCTTGCAAGACCAGTGGACAGGGAGCACAGGAGGCAGCCAGAGGTGGGCAAAGACTGGAACTGGAAGGTCTGAGAGCATTTTTCCTTTCCTCCCTGTCTCCAGCTGGCCCCTTGGGCTGGGAGAAGGGAAAGGCTAAGAGGAGGATTTTTAGGAAGATCCCTCTGGTCACAGGATGGAAAATGGTTAGGAGGTAGGAGCCCAAGCAGGAGGCTACTGAGATAGTCCAGACAAAGGGGACAGTGGCCTAGACGAAGGTGGTGGCTGTCAGGTTGGAGAGATGTGTCTGGATTTGGCAGGGATTGGAGAGGAAGGAGTGGAGGATGACTTTGGGTCCCTGACTTGGATGAATGGGTTGGGGGTGGTGCCACTCCTGAGATGAGGATGCCAGGGGAGGAGCAGGAAGTTGGGGTGTTCAGATGGGGCATGTTCGACTGGGGTGCCCATGGGACATCCAGAGACAGATAACCAGGAGGCTGACAATTGGCCTTGTGGTCTGGAATTAGAGGGAAAGTCCAGGATGGACCCAGAGCATGTGGCTTACCTTTTGGTGCCAGCTGTGCCCCTTGGACCCTTGATGTTCCTTTGAAGTCAGCACCATGCCCCTGAGAGCTTCTACCCATCCTTCTCAGGGCCCCCTCTCCATCACGGTCCTCTTCCTGGGTATGGTTCAGCTGGTCAGGGTCCTTCTCACAGGGCAGGGCCCAGCCTGAGCATGTAGTTCAGATTTGTCTACCAGTGAGGGGTGGGGGAGGGGTGTCACTGTCCCCACTAAGGACCCCAGACATGAAACCTTTATCAATGTCTTAATGTCATTGTAGTGCCTGAATATGTTTCCTCTTTGGAAAATATAAGAAGGGTTCAAACTCCAGCTCTGCCAGCCTCTAGCTAAGTGACTTTGGGCTTTTACTTAACCTCTCTGAAGCCTCAGTTTTCTCATCCGTGAAGTGGGAATACATGTTACACAGGTTGTGAAGGGTTAAATGAGACAATAACTATAAGAACCTTATCCAAATGCCCAGCACACAGCACACATTCAATAAACAATGGCTATTATTATTGTTATTTTTATTAAGTGAAAAGAAATGAAAAAGAGTATGGCTTTATTAGACAGTTAAGAAAGAAAGGAGGTAGAAAAGAAAAGTTTTTGTCTTCTTCAACAACCAATTTTTTTTGTGGTAGCACTCTCTGAACTTTTCAGACATGCATGAAAATACCCTCCATGCACATTTTCTAATGTCCGGGGTACCAGCCAGAGCTGACCATTCCTAGCCAGCCATACAGCAAGGTCAAAATGAATGGAGAAGTCAAGGCAAACACAACGAGAACAGAGATTTGGACATACAGAGAAGAAAGAGAGAGGCTCTGGGAGAAAATGAAATAAAAATGGGATGTTTATGTGTGGGCTTGATTGCAGAACTTTTCCTTGATTCTCAGAAGGTCACAGAAAGTGGCAGACATAGAGACAAGCCAACACACAAAGAGAGAAAGGCAGCGGGGCCGCATGTGACACTCTGAGGTGCTGTCAGAGGCAGGCCTGCAGGGGAAAAGGAGAAACCGGGAAACAACCAGAAAGACAGTCAGCAAACTTATGTGGGTTTATGGTAGTCATGGACTTCCTCTTATTTTATTTTAAAAATTTAAGCTTTTTATTATGGAAATATGCAAACCCATGCAAAAGAAAAGGGAATAGTATCATGAACTGCCAGCTTCAACAACTGTCAACACATGGCCAATCTTGTTTCATTGATACTCCCCCATCCCCTCCTCCTCTCCTAGGCAGCCTATTATTTCATCACAGTTTTCATTTTTGTGTTTTTGTTTGAGACAGAGCCTCACTCGTCACCCAGGCTGGAGTGCAGTGGTGCAATCACAGCTCACTGCAGCCTTGGTCTCCCTGGCCCAGGTGATCCCCCCACCTCAGCCTCCTGAATAGCTGGGACCATAGACATGCACCTCTAAGCCCAGCTAAGCCTTTTATTTTTTGTAGAGATGGGGGTCTCCTTGTGTTTCCTTGGTTGGTCTCGAACTCCTAGGCTCAAGCGATCCTCCCCCGTCAGCCTCCCAAAGTGCTGGGATTATAGGCTCGAGCCACCACCCTGCCTGGATTTCATTTTTGAAAAGAATTCTGCTTTCTCCAGGGAATTCTTAAAGTGGTGTACAAGTGATCTGATACAGAAGTTTGTTCTCAAACCTACACAAGCCCCTGCCATTCTCTCATCTTGATTCTGAGAGAGCCCAGACTGCCCTGGCCATAGGAGCTGAAAATTATATTGAAATCAAAACTCGGCAGTCAGAGAGTTCTTTTACGATCATCCAGATTGTTAGCATTCAATGCCTGGCTCCCCAACTTGCTAGCTGTGTAAGTTTGGACAACATTCTAGATCTTTCAGTGCCTCAGTTTCCTCATCTGTGAAATGGGGTGATAATGTACCTTTCCCATAGGGCTGTTGTGAGGATGAAACGAGGTGGTAAACATACTAAATGTTTAAAACAAAGCTTGGCACATAGTAGACCCTCGAGGGATGTTAGCTTTCCATCCACCCGTTTAGGAAACATGAGTGAGTGCCAACTGTTGCCAGAGGTATGGGCAGGAGCTGGGTACAGGGAGCTAAATGAGAAGGGCCTCTGCCCTCGAAGAGCTCCCCATCCAGTGGGGTACACAGGCCTATGAAAAGTTAGCTCCAAACAGTAGACAGGTGGCTGTGAAACTGGGCCGTGTCCCAAGCAGTCCATCCCATCCCCTCAATTCAGAAGTGAGCAAACAGAGACCTATGGGGCCCCTGAGCCTAAGGAGCCACAGTGCTTAGCAGCAGAGCTGGGATGGACTCAAAGTGGATTTTCCTGACTGGGCCTCTTCACATGAGGGCTTCAAAGGAGGTCGGTGGCTCAGGAGGGCACCTGGCCCATGCTAGGCAAAGGTGCTGGGCTTTGGGTCAGTCTTTCTGCAGTAGGGAAGGGTAAGATTGGTCATGGGGCCAGGCATGGGCAGCCGCTCTGGCTCCTGGTTAACCAGGTGGGGACTGCAATTCACTGCACGGTCAGGGGCCCAAAGGTAGTGGAGTCCTTGGCACTTTCAGCCCTAGCAGAAGGCCAGGGATGCCAGCTCGGCTGAGCACAGCCATGCATGGCACTGGACTGGGGCTGGGGGATGGAAGGCAGAGCCTGTGGGGAATGGGAGAGGTCGCCACTGTTTACCAGATGCTCTGGGGACAGAGGAGCAGACAGGGTCCAGGCTCCGAGGGGGTAGAAACGCAACCACTGGCAGTCCCCTTTCAGTTCTGTGAAAGGAAAAACACCTTTCTTTTGTCAGAGCTGTCCAAAAGCGGGGAAAAGATTGAGAAAAGAAGCACTGCTCTTTGGGCATGAGGCCAGGCACTCGACTCTCATAGTATCTCATCCACACAGAGCCCTGGAAGGGGGACACTGGATCCATTTTCAGGATGAGAAGAGTAAGACCCAGAGAGGGGCACAGCTTGCCCACAGTCACACAGCTGGCGCGTGGTGGAGCTGGGACTCACTCTCATGGTCTTCCTGGCTCCAAAGCCCACGCTTTTCCACTGAGCCTGGCTCACTTAGCAAGATGGCAGGGTCGGCCTGGGAGGTACAGGGTTCCTACCCCTGACAGTGCCCAAATGGAGCTTCAGGGCTGCCCTGTGGGGAGGGAGAGTGACAGAGAGTGCAGAGGCATTCACACTTCCCGTGGGTGGGTGCTAGTCTGTGATTCCACTACTTCGAGTGGATGAGGGGCCAGGAGACAGCTCAGCCATATGCAGGCCAAGTACACACAGTGCAGAGTGTATGTCTCCCTGGCACCTGCCCTTCCTGCATTCTCTCCTTCCTTCCTTCCTTCCTTCCTTCACTCACTCATTCATTCAGCAAGCACTTACTTGGATTTATTATGTACCTTGTCTGAAGTCCAGAAGCTCAGGGTAGGGGTTGGGTAAGGGACGGCTGGAATTCACAGTTGAATAAAACGTGTTTCTAGCTTTTGAAAACCTCACAACTGGAAAGCGAGAGATGAGATGTGAAAGGCGTCCCTATAGCATGAAGAAGATGTGATGAGTGCTAGAGAGGACCCTCAGCCAAGTTCAGTGGGGCTGGGAGAGGAGAAGTGGGAGGGAGGAGGGAATGACTTTGGGTCAGGGAGGAGCGAGGAGGAGGGCCCAGAGAGGCGATAAGGTCTGAGCTAAAGTTTCCACCTGACCTCATTTGCTGTTTACACATCTGAGCAGGTCGCGGGTGTTCAGGATCCTGCAGTGTGAAGACACATATTTGCAGAATGCGTCAGAGGCCTTCATGGACAGACGGCCCCCTAGCATCATCTGATAGTCAAGTTTGTTTGTGTTTTCTTTTTCCAAACACTTGGTTGCAACCCATTTGTGGGTTGTAAAATCAATTTAGTGTTTATGACCAGCATTGTACAAAATGAGTGGGACAGAGTACAAATGACTTGAACCAAATTAGGACTACCAAAGGGCACTGAGCATGATAAGGGTATTGTTTTGTGAAAAGTCATTAAACATGCATGCACAGAAATTTGTTAAACATGCATGTGTGCACACACGCATCTCAACTGGGTCATAATTGTAACTATGAGTCGTGTGTTATATATGTAACACATACAATTGTGACTGGTAGTTAAAAAATTTTGTCTGGTCCAATGTCCTCATTTTACAAAGTAGGGAAAAAGGATTTGTGCAATGCAGAGCATAGAGAGAAGAGCATAGGGTGGGGCACTGGCTTTCTCTTGAGTTCTTTTATTTACCCTTGTTGTCTTTCCTCTAAAGCATAGTTAATGTTGACCTTGGTCCTAGAAACTCTGACATCTTCATTATTTTAGGAAATGCCAGAGCCGAGGTCACTTGTGCCCAGTGGTATGCTGGGAAATGTATCAGAACTGGCTCTTGAAAAAGTATGCATATGTATATATAAGCTTATTATAAATTATACTGATATAATACATTTTACATAATTGACAAATAAAACATGTACAATATCTTTATTGCAAATTCCATTCAGCCAATTAATTCTCATAGAGTGCTTTCCTTAATTTCTGCTGAATTCATCTGTAGCCAAGCTATGATTGCAATTGCTGAGTAAACATAGTTTCGACATGATTATTGGTTGATATTTTTATTTATGTTAAGGAGTAAGACAAATGGGAAACAACAAAGACTAGATGTAAGTCAGGACTTGTTTGTTGATTGTCAGGAGCTACTTTGCTGAGTGGGGTAAACGTTTTTGAATTCTGGAAGAATATTTTCTCAATTATTTCTGCTATGCACTCTGTAATAGCTACAAACATGTTTTTAAATCTGCATTATTAACATTTTCTCTGTCACTTTACAGGCAATCTACAAAACAATAAATCAAGCCCTGATTTTGTAGTGTTTGCCTATTGCCATGATATAAACGCTCCCACCATGGCTGATGTCAAGCGAGGTGATGTCACTGAATATGGAGTTGGAAAGCGATGCACAACAGCACATCATAACAGTGTTTACATGATACAGATGCAATAGATGTAAATAATCCCAAGAGCATAGATGATAGTAAAAGGTAGCAAAACAATAGGGAAGTGATGCGTTTTGTTGTTTAGAGACAGGGTCTCACTGTGTTGCCCAGGCTGGTGTCAAACTCCTGGGCTCAAGAAATCGTCCTGCCTCAGCCTCCCGAGTATCTGGGACTATCGGTGCCCACCACTGTGCCCAGCTTGAAGAGATGAGTTTTGAGTCTTTTTTTATCTTTGTTTTTAGTATAACTTATTTAATTATAGGTTTATATAATTTAATTTTTAAAAACAATGGTGGTGCTTCACAACTGGCTTGCAGAATTCCTTAGAGCATGACAATTGGTTCTTCCAATTTGGCACAAGCCAGCCTCACCACCTCTACATCTACCTCAGACCTCCAAGGCAGGATTCTGGGGAATGAACTAGGGGATTCATGGGATTCACAAAGGCAGGGCAGGGCTGGTGCAGAATCAGACATCCCAAAGTACACATGGCTGCATTGCAGAAGGCATCACATGGATGCACACTCACACGCACTCTGCACACACCCCTTCCTCCTTCCCTAACCCACTCTGCACTGAGAAGTGGGAACCGTTTCTTCTGTGCCCACAAGGTGGTCAGCGCCCTGCTCAATGAGCACAATGAGGGACCTCAAAAGTCCTGGGCAGCTGATGCTTCTGATCTCTGCTCTCTGGGCCTCAGTTCCCTGGCAGAGAGTCCCATGGAATTAATCACCATTCCCTGAGCCTGTTTGGCAGGCACTGGACTGGTCTCTGAGGTGAGAGGTGAGTTGGCCACAGCCTGGAAAGCCAGGAAACTCTGGAGCTCCAAGAAGCCACCTGAGTGAGCCAAGGACTGGGACAGAGGAAGGGGACGTGAAGGGGAGCCTGACTCCCACACTTGCTTCCTCCTGGGTAAATCATCACACCTCGCCTGGCTTCAGTTCCTCATTTTAAAAAGGGGCTGATACAACCTACCTCGTAAGATTCTAGTAAAGGTTGAGTTAGGTAATATAAAATAGCAGAGTACCTGGGACATAGGGACACAATAAAGTGACACCAATCAGTGAAAGCTACTATCATAGGTTTAACTTACTACTACAGAGTGATCATGTTAGGACCAAAAAAAGCAGAAGGATGTGGGAGACGCCACCCCGCCCCTGCCGGCAAAGACGATCAGTGGCACATGTTGGAGAATGGAGGGAGGAATATAGATAACTGTGTTCTAGATGCAGCATGTAGGTGTATGTCACTCTTCAGATTGACCCTCATTGTATTTATCCTTTAAAATAAAAATTTAATTGACACATTGTAATTCTACATATTTACGGAACACAATTTGATGTTTTGGTTTATGCATGTGCTGTACAATGATCAAATCTGGATAGTTAGTATACCTATTGTCTTACACATTTATCATTTATTTATGTTGAGAACATTAAAAACCTCTGCTTCAGCTATTTTGTAGTATACAATACCTTACTGTTAGCTAGAGTTACCCTACTGTGCAATAGAACACCAGAATTTATTAATCTTATTTAATTATCACTTCATACCCATTCACCAACTTCTCCCCATTCTTCCTTCTCCCATTCCCTCCCTGGTTTTTGGTAACTACTGTTCTACTTCTGTATCACCTTTTTAAAAGATTCTGCATCTGAGTAAGATCATTTGGTATTTGTCTTTCTGTGTCTGGCTTATTTCACTTAACATAATGTCCTCCGGGCTCGTGCATGTTGTTGCAAATGATAGGATTGCATTCTTTTTTATGGCTCAATAGTATTCCACTGTGTATGCACCACAATTTCTTTATCCATTCATTTGTTGTTGAACACATGGGTTGATTCTGTACCTTGGCTATTGTGAATAGTGCTGCAGTAAACATGGGAGTGCAAATACCTCTTTGATATACTGATTTCATTTTCTTTGGATAAATACCCATACTGGGGGTTGCTGGATTATATGGTAGTTCTAGTTTCAATTTTTTTGAGGAACTTCTATACTGTTTTCCATAATGGCTGTACTAATTTACATTCCCACCAAAAGTGTGTAAATGTTGCCTTTTCTTCACATCCTCACCAACACTTGTTTTGTCTTTTTGAATAGCCATTCTAACTGTAGTGAGGTGGTATCTCATTGTGGTTTTGATTTGCATTTTCCCTAATGATTAGTGATGTTGAAATTTTTCATGTTGGCCATTTGTATGTCTTCTTTTGAGAAATGGCTATTAAGGTCTTTAGCCCATTTTTTAGTTGGGTTAAATAACTAGTTGTGCTGTTGAGTTGTTTAAGTTGCTTATATATTCTGGGTATTAACTCCTTGTCAGATAGTTTGCAAATCTTTTATCCCATTCTGTAGGTTGTCTTGTCACTCTGTCAGCTCTTTCCTTCACTGCACAAAAGCTTTTTATTTGGTATAATCCCGTTTGTCATTTTTGCTTTTGTTGCCTGTGCTTTTGAGGGCTTACTTTAAAAATCCTTGCCCAGCCCAAATATCATCAAGCATTTCCCTGATGTTCTCATAGTTTCGTAGTTTTAAGTTTTACATTTAAGTCTTTAATCCATTTTGATTTGATTTTTGTATGTGGTGAGAGGTAGTGGGGGTGTCTCATTTTTCTGCATTTGGATATCCAATTTTTCCAGCCCCATTTATTGAAAAGAGTGTCCTTTCCCCAATGTGTGTTCATGGCACCTTTGTGAAAAATCAGTTAGTTGTAGATTTATGAATTCATTTCTGGGCTCTCTGTTCTGTGCCATTGTTCTACATGCCTCTTTTTATGCCAATACCATGCTGTTTGGGTTAGTATAGCTTTGTATTAATAGTATATTTTAAAGTCAAATAGTGTGATGCCTCCAGGTTTATTCAGGATTGCTTTGGCTATTTGGAGATTTTTGTGATTCCATATACATGTTAGAATTGTTTTTTACATTTCTGTGAAGAATATTATTGGTGTTTTGATAGGGATTGCATTAAATCTATAGATTGCTTTGGGTATTTTATAGCTATTTTAACAACATTAATTCTTTCAGTGTATGAACATGGACCATCTTTCTATTTATTTGTGTCCTCTTTAATTTCTTTTATCAATGTTTTATAGTTTCCAGTGTAGAGATCTTTCACCTCTTTGGTTAAGTTTATTCCTAGGGGGTTTTTTGTTTGTTTGTTTTTTCTTTCTTTCTTTTTTCCTTCCTTCCGTTCCTTCCCTCCCTCCCTCCATCCATCAGTCCCTCCCTTCTTCCCTCTCTCCCTCCCTCCCTCCCTTCCCTCCCTCCCTCACTCCCTCCCTTCCCTCCCTCCCCCCCTCCTTCTTTCCTTCCTTCCTTCCTTCCTTGTATAGCAATGATATTTTTATATTTTGATTTGGCCTTCTGACACCTTATTGAATTCATTTCCTAGTTCTAATAGTTTTTTGTCAAGTCTTTAAGACTTTCTAGATATAAGATTATGTCATCTGCAAATAGAAACGATTTGACTTCCTCATTTCCAATATGAATGCCTTTTATTTTTTTTTCTTGCTTAATTATTCTGGTCAGGACTTCCAGTACTATGTTGAATAGAAGTGGTGAAAGTGGGCATCCTTGTCTTATTCCTGAACTTAGAGAAAAATCTTTCAGCTTTCCCCCATTCAGTATTATGTTAGCTGTGGGTTTGTCATACATGGCCTTTATTGGATCGAGGTACATGTATTCTATGCCTACTTTGTTGAGAGTTTTTATTTTGAAGGGATACTGAATTTTGTCAAATGCTTTTTCAGCATTTAATGAAGTGATCATGTGGTTTTCGTCTTTCTTTCTGTTAATGTGGTGTATCACATGTATTGAAATGCATTTATTGAACTATCTTTGCATCCCTGGGATGAACCTCACTTGATGATAGTGAATGATATTTTTAATGTGCTATTGAATTTGGTTTGTCAATACCTTGTTGAGAATTTTTGCATCTATGTTTATCAGAGATATTGGCCTGTAGTTTTGTTCTATTGTGTGCCCTCATCTGGTTTTGGAATCAGCATAATGCTGGCCTTGTAAAATGCATTTGGAACTATTCCCCTTTCCTCAATTTTCTGGAATAGTTTGAGAAGAATTGATATTAGCTATTCTTTAAATGTCTGATGGAATTTAGCAGCAGAGCCATTGGCTCAAGGACTTTTTGTGATGAAAGACTTTTTATTACTGATTCAATTTTCTCACTTGTTTTTCTCTATTCAGGTTTTCTATTTCTTCATAATTTAACCTTCAGGTGTTATATGTGTCTAGGCATTTATCCTTTTCTTTTATGTTTTCAAATTTGTTTGCTTATAGTTGTGATTCATGAGTCTCTTATGATCCTTTGTATTTCTGTGATGTCAGTTGTAATGTATCCTTTTTCATCTCTGACTTTATTTGCATCTTCTCTCTTTGTTGTTAGTCTAGCTAAAGGTTTGTTGATTTTATCTTTTCAGAAAAAAGAACTCTTTTTTGCTAAGTTTTTAAAAATGGCTTTTTTTTTGGCCTGGTGTGGTGGCTCATGCCTGTAATCCCATCACATTGGGAAGCTGAGGCAGGTGGATCACCTGAGGTCAGGAGTTGGAGACCAGCCTGGGCAACATGGTGAAACCCTGTCTGTACTAAAAATACAAAAATTAGTTGGGCATGGTGGTGGAAGCCTATAATTCCAGCTACTGGGGAGGCTGAGGCATGAGGATCACTTGAACCTGGAAGGCAGAGGTTGCAGTGAGCTGAGATCACACCACTGCACTCCAGCCTGGGTGACAGAGCAAGACTCCATCTCAAAAAAAATAAAAAAATAAAAAATAAATGAAGTAAAAATTGCTTTTCTTGGCCTTGTTTCATTTATTTCTGACCTCGACTTTATTACTTACTTATTTCTAACAATTTGGGGTTTGGTTTGTTTCTGTTTTTCTAGTTCCTTGAGGTGTGTCATTAGGTTATTGGAAATCTTTCTTCTTTTTTGATGTAGGTATTTATGGCTGTACACTTCCCCCTTAGAACTGCTTTTGCTGTGTCCCATTGGTTTTGATACAATGTGTTTCCACTCTTATTTTTCCTCAATAAATTTTAAAATTCCCTCTTTAATTTCTTCATTGACCTAGTGGTTATTTGGGAGCATGTTGTTTAATTTCCATACATTTGTACTTCTGTTGTAGTGTTCCTTCTGTTATTGATTTCTAGTTTTTATACCATTGTGGTCAATAAAAAAATTCTTGAAATGATTTCAGCATCTTGCATTTGTTAAGACCTATTCTGTGGCCTAATACATGATCTATCCTGGAGAATGTTCCATGTGCAGTTGAGAAGAATGTGTATTCTGCAGTGCTGGGTGGAATGTTCTGTACGTCTGTTAAGTCCATTTGGACTATGAGCAGTTTAAGTCTGCTGTTTCTTGTTTTTTGTTTGTTTGTTGTTGTTTTTTGTTTGTTTGTTTTATAGAGACAGGGCATGTGCCACCGAGATCAACTAACTTTTAAAAATTTTTATAGAGAAGGAGTCTTGCTATGTTGCCCAGGCTAATCTTGAACTCCTGGCCTCAAGTGATCCTCCTGCATTGGACTGCCAAAGCATTGGGATTATAGGCATAAGCCACCATGCCTGGCCTAAGTCTAATGTTTCTTTCATGATTTGCTGTCTAGATGATCTGTCCGTTGTTGAAAGGGGGATGCTGAAGTACCCTACTGTTATTGTATTAACAATCTGTCTCTCCTTTTAGAGCTAATAATATTCATTTATGTTAGGGTGCTTCATGATATAGTATTCATAATATTATATATTCATCATATATTAGGGTGCTTCAGTGTTGAGTGTATATGTATTTACAGTTGTTAATCCACTTGTTGGATTGATTCCTTTGTCATTAGATAATGACCTCCTTTGTTGCTTTTTATAGTTTTTTACTTAAAATCTATTTTATCTGATAAAATGTCTAGCTCTTTTATCCTTTCAGGAGTATGAGTACTCCTGCTCACTTTTGGTATCTGTTTGCATGAAATATCTTTTTCCATTCCTTTACTTTCAGTCTATGCTTGTCTACCAGTGAGGCTAGTCTCTTGTAGGGAGCATATAGTTGGGTCTTGTTTTTAAATCCATTCAGGAGCTCACTTTAAATTGGAGAATTTAATCCATTTATATTCACGGTTATTATTGATAAGTAGGATGTACTCCTGCCATTTGATTGTTTTCTGGCTGTTTGGTAGATTCTTTTTTCTTCCTCTCTTACTGCTTACCTTTGGTTCAGTGGTTTTCTGTGGTATTAAGCATTGTTTACTTTCTTTTTCTTGTTTGTGTGTCTGTTTTAATTTCTTTTTTTTGTAGTTATTATGGGGCTAACACAGAGTCTTGTAGTTATAATAGACAACTTTAAGCTGATAATAATTTAACTTTGGTTGCATAAAAATGCTCCATACTATTGTTCTCCTTCCACAATTTATATTTTCATTGCCTTAATTTATATCTTTATTGCATGTTCCTTAGCCACTAATTGTAGCTCTTATTGACCATTTTGACTTTTACTTTTCATACTAAAGCAATGAAAGATTTACATAGCACCATTATAACACTGGGGTAGTATCAGTTTGATTATGAATGTACCTCTACTGGTTATTGATTTTTAGCTTCCAGTTGCAGCACTCCTTTAAGCATTTCTGGTAAGGCTGGTCTAGTGGTAATAAATCCCCCCAGTTTTTGCTTGTCTGGGAAGGTCTTTATTTCTCTCTCATTTCTGAAGGATGAGAGTTTTGCTAGATATTGTGTTCTTGGTTAACAGGGGTTTGGTTTTGTTTTGTTTTTCAGCACTTTGACTATGTCATCCCATTCTCTCCTTGCCTGCAGGGTTTCTGCTGAGAAATCTACAGAGATTCTAATGGAGATTCCCTTATATGTGACTGATGCTTTTGTCTTATAGCTTTTAGAATTCTTTCTTTGTCTTTGATTTTTGGCCATTTGATTATAATGTGCCTCAGAGAGGATCTTTTTGGGTTGAATCTAATTGGGGATCTTTGTGCTTCCTGGATCTAGATGTCCATGTCGCTCCCAAAACTTGTAAACTTTTCAGCTATTATTTTGTCAAATAGATTTTCTGTGCCTTTGTTTATCTCTTATCCCTCTGGCATTTCTATAGTACAGCTATTTCTTTGCTTAATGATTTCCCTTAAGTCTCATTGACTTTCTTCATTCTTTTTTTTTCAGGTTCAGACATGTATATATTTTTTACTTACAAGTTTTCATCTGACCAAAATTCAGCATAACCTTTATTGAACACTTAACAATTGTTTTGTATTTAAAATAACATTTCATTCAAACTTTATATAATTCAGTAAAGTTTTTGTACAGCAAGCAATGCTTAAAACCTGGAAAATCTGTAGAAAAGACATTTTCACACAAAATGAGGAAAGAAAAATGTGAGGTATCCCTCATACACACATATACATTCATTCTGGCCCAGGTACATGTGCACACACACACACGCACACCTGTGTGTTCACACAGACATATTCATTCTCACTCACAAAGTGGCTGCAGCATAGGCAAAAGATTGTAGGTCCAAAGGAAAACGACTGATTGTTCTAATAAAGAGTCCATGTAGCTAAGAAAAAACTAAAACAAAACACAGTAATCTTCTGAGGAAATTACTACCTCAAAAAATGTTCTCAAGGTGAATTTGAGATCTAAGCCTACTAAATTACTTTTGCACAACAGCTCCCTGCAGTCCAAGGCAACTTGTGCAAATAGAAGGAATCAAATGAAACTGGTTTCTGTACTTTCTTTTTCTTTTTTTTTTTTTTTTTTTTGAGGTGGAGTCTCACTCTGTCACCCAGGCTGGAGTGCAGTGGTGTGATCTCAGCTCACTGCAACCTCTGCCTCCTGGGTTCATGCCATTCTTCTGCCTCAGCCTCCCAAGTAGCTGGGACTACAGGCACCTGCCATCACGCCCAGCTAATTTTTTGTATTTTTAGTAGAGATGGGGTTTCGCCGTGTTAGCCAGGATGGTCTTGATCTCCTGACCTCGTGATCCGCCTGCCTCAGCCTCCCAAAGTGCTGAGATTACAGGCGTGAGCCACCTGTACTTTCTTAAACAAGGATGTAGGATGCTCACAGGTGCCTAGGGGCGCTCTCATCATGCCAGGTACTGCTGCAGTGCCATCTTTGCCTTGTCACAAAGGTCTGAATCTGGTGGCTGACTCGGTTTATGTAGAATATCTATGATGCCCATGTCTCATAATTTATCCTGGCATTCTTGTGAACCTTCTTCTTCATTCCATATGAGGTTTGATATACAAAACATAGCTGGAAGCTGCAGTTTGACATGTGAATGGTCCATGTAATATTTGATTTTCTGAAGGATATCATCATTGGTCATAATACATTCTTTTGCTGTTGTCTCATCTTTTATATTGGCTAAGATGCACAGTATCTACTCTTTGACCTTAAAGTTATGTTCCCCTTCCAGAATAAGGATGACAGCTTGCATAATTTACTTTCCATGAGTACTCATTATTTTATTATATGAAGCCAGGTCAAGAGGATATTTCTAAGAAGTCCCAGTGTCTTCATCAGGACATTCAAATCTGAATCTGATAATAACCAGAATAGCTGTTCAGCACTCAAGCTTTGTAACATGTCTGCTTTTATTTTTTGTTCAGCCTGAAATGCCATATTCATTAAATCCCAAATTCTGCTCACTCATAAAGCAGGATTTTCACTCTGGGTTAATCCACAAAGTAGCTTTACAACTCCTGATTTTAAAATTGACTCTTTCCTTGGAGAAAATTCAAGAAGATTATATACCATGGAAGATGCTGCTACTAGGATTTCATCTGGTGCATTTTGTAAAACCTTCATTAAAGGTTTTCACAGAGTGTGATCCTAGAAACTGTTTTGAAGCTGCTGCACAGATCTGGATAAATGGTGCAAACATCTGAGAGCAGGTAACCGCACCTTGACACTAGACTCAGACAAGCCAGTCACAATTCAGTCCATCATATTTTCAGTCTCAGGGCTTTTCTTCTGAATGTCTTCATCATTTGCTCTAAGAGAGTCGTAGAGATTGAATGCAGCCTGGCAGAGTTCATGAGCATGTTTTAAATCATGATCAAGCCTTTTACTATCAGTGATGGCACTCAATGAGTTGGGATACTTGAAATAGTCAGCAAACATGGCGATGAGGTGATCAGTTACACTAGCGATTCTCTGTAGCTCAATATCTGGTTCAATCAGATAGGCAAGTGTCTCAGCTCCTTTAACTCTCTCCTCTAGTAATCTCTTCTTACTGCATGTTTGAACCAAATAAGGCAATGTCTTTAATACAGTTGTTATCTGTCTGAATTGCTCCAGCTGTATACATGTAAGTTAAACATTTTGCTGATGTAAGCTGCATCTCAATATGCTTATCCCTCTGTAACATCGTCACAAAAATCTGTGATAACAATTCTCCATCAACTAAAACATTTACCAGGGTAAAACTGAGAAACATTTCAGTGCTTGCATTTGAACTTTGTAGAAAATGAGGTTAGTAGGTGAGCAATATTCTTAACTGCACCACGGCTAAATAAAATTGTTTGATGATCTGGCCCCTTTACAGCAGTGTGAGACGATCCGACCGATGTACTCCTGGATATAGTGGAACCTGCTAAGCAGTGCCATGAGGTGCGGTGTCACTGTGGCATCTGTAAACAGTAGCTCCTTTGGAGTGACAGGACTGGAGAATTCCAGTAACTTTCATTCATGGTCTGAGAGGAAGCTCATGCAGATTGGGGTCTCCAACAGGCACACCATCTTGAGCCTTCCCGTTTGGCTGCTCTCATTCTTTTTTATTCTCATTTTCTTTTATTTTTTATTCTCATTTTCTTTTCTGACTAGGTTATTTCAAAAGACCTGTCTTAAAGTTTCAGAATTCTTTTTCCTCCTTCCTCTTATCCTCCTTTTCCTCCTCTTCCTCCTTCTCCTGTGGTCTGTTGCCAGCCCCATTCTGCTTCCACTTCTTGTACTATGGGTATTGAGCACATCCTGAGTGCTCTTACAGTCTGGGGCCATGATGGCTGATGCCTTTACTCTGATCTAGTCCCAGTTGCTCTCTATCTTTCAGGGTCTTCTGGTAATTTCCATGTCCCTGATAGAGCCCCTTCTTGCTTTCTAGTATGGTTATGCATTCTCTCTCTCTCTCTTTCTCTTTCTTTCTCCTCCCTTCCTTCCCTTTCTTCCTTCCTTTTTTTCTTCCTTCCTTCCTTTCTTCCTTTCTTTCTTTCTTTCTTTTTTCTTTCTCTTTCTTTCTTTCCTTCCTTCCTTCTCTTTCTTTCTCTCTCTCTTTCTTTCTTTCTTTCTTTCCTTCCTTCCTTCTTTCTTTCTTATCATTTTGAGGGTTTTGTATGGGATGAGGAGACTGGTATATATACTCTGTTTACCTCCCTAAAAGCAGAAGTCTGACTTTTACAGTTCTATCACATATCTGACAGTTTGGGTCTCATCCACCCCCTCCCCACCACTTATCAGATATTTCAGATCCATGGTTAGACATAACTGTGGAGCACTGGCATTTTAAAGACTTACTGGGGAATATGCCAAGCTTATGGAATCCCCAGAGGAGTCCTCTTCTCTGAGACGTCTGAGGGAACAGTAGGTGCTGTCTAGGGAAAAAAGGTCAGCAGATGGCCGGCTGGCTGGTGGATGGTGTAGGAGTTGGGAAAAGCATGAACAAAAATGTGGACATATATGATAGAGTGTGTTGTGGTGGCCTTGTGGGGATCAGAGCAGAAAGAACAAAGTGTGGTGGGAGTCCCAGAAAGGAGGCATCTCTTTGAAGAGAAGCCGTAACACTACTGCCATGTGTTTTAGACATGAGACAATGACAGTCCTGTTCCACAGATAGTGGGGGCTGGAGAGAACAGAGTCTGCAGCCTGTAGTCCAGTAATCTCTCTCCTGCCCCAACAGCCCAGCAGTGGCTCAGGTGTGAGCTGATGTTTCTTGACCTTGACCAGTGCTAATTTCTTGTGAAGGATGCTTTAGTCTCAGGGCCCCTCACTCACACAGGACCCTTCCAAGGCTCTGGGAGAGTGGGAAGAACCCTGATTAGGTGTTTACATGGTCATATGTCTCCCTTAAAATATGAAAAAGTAAGACATTTTGTAGTATTGCTTTAAAAACATGCCCAAATTATATAAGCTTTTAGCCCCACAGAACTGGATTCTGCCCCTAAATGAAGGACTTAGTTTCAGTTAGCAGAGAAGTTGGATAAATAATCAAGCTGAAGAAAAAAGTATGAAAGATTATTCCACTTAGGGAAGACACACTACAGGTGAGCAGCCTTGGCTCTCAGAAAGTGAAATTTAAAAAGATCAGATGGTCTTAGCGGATGGTCTTAGGCCAAACTTCTTGACAGTGATGTTCAAGACTAAAGTGTGAATGACAACAGCAATGACTGATGATATGAATGTGATGTTTTTGGCCATTTTGCAGGACCAGGCAGTTAAATGGCACTTGTACCAGCTCGGTGGACATGGAGCTCTTCCTTCATTATTCCCTCATCCCATCAGTAAGTAAAGGCAGGGGAAGGGTGAGGAGGGCAGGAAAGGGCAGCTGGGCTGCTGCCAAACACAGATTCCCAAAGAGACCTGAGTAGATCAGAGGAAAGAGATCAGCTGAGTTTCCTTCTAAAATGTCTTACATTATATACCAAAAATATGGCAGAAGAAGGCTTTGTGGGCCCGAGAATCAGGCATATGGACTTTTAGGAGAGTGAAACAGGCTTTTCCAATGAAGTAATGATGGCTCTGAGGTCAGTTGGAAGATGTAGTTAAGGATATTGCAGACAGAAGGGGAGAGCACATGCAGAGGCTCTGGGGAGGGAGGGAGAAGGCAGAGTGGGAAGAGCTGAGAAGTTCAGCCATGGCTGGAGTGAGGAATTGAGGCAGAGAGGTCTGGGGAGGTGGGCGGGGCAGGCCAGGCAGAGCCCTTTGGGGCTCTGTGTTTAGTTTTGCCTTCATTCTAAGTACAGTAGGAAATAATGGAAGTGTTTCCAGCATGAAGATGGTGTGATCAGATTTATGTTTTTAAATGATCTCTCTGGTTGCAATGCGGAGATCGAGTTGGAGGTGGGCAAGAGATGAGGCAGGAAGACCAACTGGGAGACTTGCAGGGATCCAGGTGAGACGTGATTTTATCACATCCTAGATGATGATGTCAACTCCAGAAGTTCAGGAGGTGAAAACAATAGGACTTGTAATGGGCTGGATAGGAAGGTTAGGGAGAGGGGCAGGTTGAGGATGACTTAGGTTTCTAACTTGCACAATGAAAGGATGATGGTAGCTGTCATTTACTCATTAAGGAACATTAGAAGAGATCCAGGTTTGGGGCAGATATAAGACATACTTGGCCAGGCAAAGTGGCTCCTGCCTGTAATCCCAGCACTTTGGGAGGCCGAGGCAGGTAGATCACTTGAGTCTAGGAGTTTGAGAACAGGATGGGCAACATGGCAAAACCTCATCTCTACAAAAATTAGCTGGGGGTGGTGGCATGTGCCTGTGGTCCCAGCTACCCAGGAGGCTGAGGTGGGAGGATCAGCTGAGCCTGGGAATTTGAGTCTGCAGTCAGCCGTGGTTGTGCTACTGCACTCCAGCGTGGGTGACAAAGTGAGACGCTGTCTCAAATAAAAAGATGCATACTGAAGCTTTTGATACAAGCTTTGAGAAGCTTTCAATACATTAAAAAGAAATATCAACTGTGTAGTTGGCTAAATAGTTTTGGAGCTTATGGACAAGGTCGGGGCTGGAGATTCAAATTTAAGTCTTCTGCGTATTTATGGTTATTAAAACATGGACATGAGGCTAGGCACAATGGCTCACACCTGTAATCCCAGTGCTTTGGGAGGCCAGGGTGGAAGGATCACCTGAGGCCAGGACTTTGAGACCGTCCTGGGCGACATAAATGAGATCACCAAGAGAAGACCAGGTAAGATGAGTAGCCCTTGGACTGAGCTATAAGGAACTCTGCAGCAAGGGCTGGGGTAAAGAGTGATCCAGCAGAGAATGCTGAGGAATAATGGGGAAAAATCAAGAAAACATGGTTGTAATGAAGGCCTAGGGAAGAGAGTACTCAAAGAAGAGGGAATGGTCAACATTGTAGAATGCTGCTGGGAGATGAAGCTAGATTTGGACTTCAAGTATACACGGGACCAAGCCACAAAACAGTCATCAGTGACTTTGGCCATAGCTGTTTCAGCAGAGTGATGAGGGTAGAAGCCAGGTTCGGGGGTTGAGGAGCCAGTGAGAGGTGAGGGAATGGAGACACAAGTGTAGACAATTCTCAAGAAGTTTCTGATAAAGGCAGGAGAGAGAAAGAGCATCAAGTTTGTGAGAACATGACTGAATCCACAGAAAAGCAGCAAAGAAGCCTTTGCAACCTGGCAGTTATTACTGCCTTTTGACAGAAGAGGAAACTGAGGTACAGAAAAGTTAAATCTCTCTCTCAACCAGGATGTGAGAGAGACCAGATTTGAACATACATCTGTTCAGGGAAACAAAAGGAAAGGCTCAGTACAGAACATTCTGGTAGCTCAAGAGTGCATGCAGTCAGCCCCCTGGCTCTGGAGTTTGAGGTGTCACTAATGTTCTGTGCACTCTGCTAACCCACACGTTTGTTTTCAGGGAGGGCTCAGAGGCCATGCTGAGAATGAACATGCCCACTAACTCTCATCTTCTCTTCTTACAGCTCTTCATCATGTTGATCTTGTCCTTCCTTCAAAGATGAGAGCATTGTAGACAGAGAGATGATACCTCTTACCTGCTGGGGAACTGCTTTGGCATTATCATGTGAGTTGAGTCAACCCCTAAAGCTTGGGGTATCCTGTGGTTGGAGCCAATGCCAATTATGAGGTCAGATAGCTACCAGGACCTCTCCTCCACCTCTACCCCACTGTGCACAGCCCTGCCCCTCCGTGCCCCAACCCAACCAAAGCTCTCAGAGTTCAGAATTGGTTTCCAAGCCATTGCAGCTATCAGCACCCAGGGCTGCTCAAATATGCTTAAATCATCTCACAGAGACACAGCCTACTATGGAAAAGACCTTCCCACACCTGAGACTATGGCTACCTCAGGAGGCAGGAGGGAGAGAGCTCCCTGTGAATGGAGACAGCAAAGCTTCTTGTTAGGATGGCACCATGGGTCATGCACCAGGAGAGCTTTCAGAGCTTTTCTAGCTCTGCCATTTTGAGTCTCTGCAGCTCATATCACATTCTTCCTTGAGTTCTGATTGTTCGTATCTCTGTTTCATCACTTCTTATAATCATCTTCATCATCATGCAGTTAACATTTATTGCACACCATCTGTGACCCAAGCACTGAACCATTTGCTTTGCCTACATTATTCTGACAAATCCTCTTGCCAATCTAGCATGGTAGAAATTGTTATCCTCATGCAATGAATGAGGGAACTCAAGCTTAGAGAGGTTAAGTGACCTACCCACGGCCACACAGCTAACAAGTGACAAGACCTTTAGCCCAGATCAGCCTTATATTCTTTTGAATCCCCCCAGTGTTATAACCTTAGCAGGCTCAAGCTGTGGACATGCTGAGGTCTCAGCCAAGGGCTCTGGAGAAGAGAGAAAGCACAGATGTCAGAACTGAGGCAAGGGGTGACCTGAGCTGCAGGTGAGAGATTCATTCTAGATACCACCCACTGGGGCAGTCAGCACTTTCCAAACTGCCAGGTCTGAGACCCATTGGTTGAGGCATAGAAAGAGACTGAAGCTGGTGGATAAAGACCTTCAGTTCTGCCCTAGACATTTAGCATGTAGGGGCTGGCACAGGACTTTATAAAGTAGGAGGTCCATAGCAGTTACATTCAACTACTTTGAATTACATGGATAATGACACAGTTGACATGCTCCCTGGCTACTTTCCCACCTAAACCCCTGCTTGTCTGATAATTTTGGCCCACTATCTTCTCCGAGCAATAACCCCTCACGTGTGTGGCACTCTGCAGGTGATAAAGCAGTTCATCATTTGCTGTCCACAATGAATGTGATAGGGGCAGAGTAGGGGATGTGTCTCTGTTTTAAAGGTGAGGAAACTGAGTCTCACATAGCTCTTAAGTACTACAGATGGGATCTTGATTAGATTTCGATTCAGTTCTACAAAATGCATGTCCACAAACCTGCACTAAGCGCCTACTCTTTCCAAGGTCCATTGCTAGGTCCCCACCGCTAAGGGGTTTATAGTTAACTAAACAAGTGGAGAGCCACGGTTACAGGGAAGCAGAGATTCTAAGTCAGAGAGGAAATAATATGACAGAGATAGACCCTGTCTCAAAAGGGTCTGGTGTGGTGGCGCCCACCTGTAGTCCCAGGTACTTGGGAGGCTAAGGTGGGAGGATCGCTTGAGCTCAGGAGGTTGAGGCTGCAGTGAGCCAAAATTACACCATTCTACTCTAGCCTGGGTGACAGAGGTATGCTCAACAGGGACATGAACTTAATGCTGAGGGGACACGGATGGGGTAGCCTCACTGGCAGTGGGTGAACAGGGAGGCTTCCTGGAAGATGTGCTCCTTCTGCTGAGCCTTAAATGTGAAGGCGAGTGAGCCAATGGGACTCCCTGCCTGCAGTGCCTGGCTCTCCCTTCCCTCCTGAGTTTTCATTAAGGCCCGCTTTAAATGGCCGTTCCCTTTTCATTCATTCAAAGAGACTTTTTTCTTCTCCCAAATGCAACTGCTTCCTCTGACCTATACAAAGCTGTCTTGGTTAGAAGAAACAGATATTCACTCAAGCTTGTTTACATTAAAGGAAGAGAAAGGATTTTTCTTTTTCTTTTTTTTTTTTTTTTTGAGATGGGGTCTAGCTCTGTCACCCAGGCTGGAGTATAAGGATATAATTTTGGCTCACTGCAGCCTCAACCTCTTGGGCTCAGGCCATCCTCCCAGCTTAGCCTTCCGAGTACCTGAGACTACAGGTGGGCACCACAACACCCGGCTAATTTTTGTATGTTTTGTAGAAACAGGGTTTCTTGTTTCATGTTGCCCAGTCTGGTCTCAAGCTCCTGGGTTCAAGCAACTCGCCTATCTTGGCCTCCCAAAGTGCTGGGATTACAGATGTGAGCCACCGCACCTGGTGAGAAAGGATCTTTTTTTTTTTTTTTTTTTTTTTTTTTACAAAGTTAGAGTCTCACATAAACCAACAGAACAGGCCTCATGGGAACTGGATCTCTTGAGATGGGAATCTGTGGGAGATTGATTTTTTCTCTCTCTTTCTGCCCCTCTGTGTTACTGGTGCCTCCTCAGCACCGTTCTACCATTTTCCTCTCTGACTTAGAATCTCTGCTTCCCTGTAACCTTGGCTCTCCTCTGGCACTGACTCTGATCCCAACTTTTTATGACTTTCCAGACAAGTACTTTAACAGCTAACTTGTTCATGTCCTTAGGGTCACAGATTCAAAATATAAGATCAGACATCTGATCAGCCCATTCAAAGACAGGCCCATAGTCCAGTCAACTGTGGCTAGGAAGGCATGAATGTGTAGGGGAGACAAAATTATATCTCTACCCTCTTAAGTTTTTCAGCTGGGCCTGATAATTAAACTGACATAAGACAATAGGAGAAAAGTATACACATTTATTTAATATAAGTTTTAGGTGACACAGGAGCCCTTATAATGAAGTGAAGACCCAAATATACAGTTAGAGTTGAATACGTACACATTGAATTGGACAAATAGTTAAGTTGTGAAAAAGTAACTAAGTTGTGGGGGGAGACTAGAAGACAAGAGTTATTTAAATAAAGTCTGTACCAAATTCTCTTGGCCTCAACTTCCTGTCCCTGATGATAAGAATGTTACTTTCTTTCTGTATAGGGAGAGCATTTTTTACATAGAAATTTCATCTCCTGTTTTTAAGAAATAGCGTGAAGGTCAGAGTGATCTTCTTGTACCTGCTGTTTTTTGAATGTCTTTAATTCAAAATAGTCGATATGCCAGAGTGGCATATTTCAGGGTGCCTATTATTTACTTCTTCAAGCACAGACATAGCAAACGATACCTAGACCCTCATCAGGTATATTGGAAGGAAGAATTCTCATAGAATGTGGCTGGCTGAGGGCAGGCTTCCCCAAATCTGTCTTGGACCTACACCTTGTTTTGGTCCTTGAGTCATTCTGTCTGTGTCTCTTATAGATGAAACTCATCCCATTTTGCTGTCAAGGCTTCTGGTGTCCTTGCTGATATCTCCTGCTCATCTTGGAGCTCCTCCAGAGCAAGAGTTTTGTCCTCCTTACTTCAGTACCCTGAATTCATGCTTACCCCTAGGCCTGGCACAGAGAGCCCCACAAAATGTCAGTTGCAATAAGCAGCTGACTATTCAATAATCCCTCCTCAGGGTGGGATCTCTACTTTGGCGATGATCTGTGGGAATGTCTCAGAGCCACCTTCTGGCCTCACAAACTGTTTCTGTTGTTTGCAGGCCTCTGGACTTCGTGGGCACTTTCAGTAACCGATGGTCC
Source organism: Homo sapiens (assembly GCF_000001405.40). Lineage (NCBI taxonomy): Eukaryota > Metazoa > Chordata > Mammalia > Primates > Hominidae > Homo > Homo sapiens. The sequence continues at coordinate 38,462,143 of NC_000009.12, forward strand.
TATGGAATCACCTTTGGGGCCACAGCTAATAAGGTCATGTTTTTGTTCTCAGAAGGCTACCAGCCCCTGCAGATCCCGCAGTGGGCCCAAGGTACTGGGGATACCTCATACCTGCTGGAAACTGCATCATGAAAATTCTTGCTCTCAGAGACCACATGGCACACGCTGTCTGGGATCAGAGGATAAACTCTGTGAATGGTCATGTTCTTGCCAGCCTGTTGCTTGCCCAGGGTCAACACCTAGCCCACAAATCTTCAAAGCTTCTTTGTGGGGCTTTCCCCAGTTACATTCAGAGGTCCTTTAGATATGATATATCAAGTCTTAGGAAGTAGGTTCTTCCTCACCTACCTGCCAAAAGCTCTCCTGTGTCATAGTCATGGCTGCCTTCTTGATGTTGATGAGCCCCATTCCTCCTCAAAGAACAATGCTTATGTTTTTGGCCATTAGTCTGAGGCATCGTCTTTCCCCATGCCTCATGCTCCATCTGGAGGAGTGTAACTCTAAGCTACAAGTTCACTTTTCCATGATACAATCATTCTCAAACCTCTCTGTCCAGTACAGTTCCCTCTCATGGGCTCCAAGCCTATGTGATCAAATGCCCGCTAACAGGTCATTAGTCTTTAAGAAAATGCAAATTAAAACCAAAATAATGCATCATTACACACCTCTTAGAAGTACACAGTTTGAGAAGTTTTGGCAAATATTTACATCAATGAAACCATCGCCACAATCAGGATAAGGAATCTCAGAGATTTCCTTGTTCCCCTTTGTAATCTCCCTTTTCCTCCCCTCTTCTGTCACATGCCCACTAATCTACTTAGTTTGCATTTTCCCGAATTTTGTATAAATAGAATCATACAGAATGTACTTTTTTTTTTGGTCTGGCTTCTTTCAGTCAGCATAGCTATTTTGAGATTCATACATATGTAACATGTGTTAGTAGTTTATCCTTTTTTCTTGCTGAGTAGTATTCCACTATATAAATTGACTACAATTTGTTTATCCATTCACTTCATGAGTAACATCTGATTTATTTCCACTTTTGGCCATTGCAAATAAAACTGCTGTGAACGTTTGTGTACAAGTCTTTTCATGTACCCATGCTTCAGTTTTCCTGAGTAAATACCTATGAGTAGAATGGTTGGATTACACAGACCATATAGTAGATCATATTTTTAAAGGCTGGATTACATAGATCATATAGTAGATCATACTTTTAAAGAAACTGTCAAACTGCTTTCCAAAGTGATTGTACCACTTTAGATTATCCCCATCAGTATGAGAGTTCCAGTTTCTCCAGCACTGGTACAGTCAATTTTTAAATTTTAGTTTCTAAATGTAAAAAATTTAATTTTTAAAATTAAATTCATTTTGTTAATTTAATTTTTTAAATTTTAAATTTTCTAAGAAGTGTATAGTGGTTTCTTATTGTGGTTTTAATTTGCATTTTTATAGTGACTAATGCTGTTGAGCATATTTTTATGTGCTTATTTGCTATTCCTGTACCTCCTTTGATGAAGCTTCTGTTCAAATCATTTGCCTGTTTTCAAAAATTGGTTTTTTAGCTTTCTTTTTAGTGAGTTTTAAGAGTTTTAAAAATATATTTTGGGTATGAGACCATTATCATACACATATATGAATTGCAAATATTTTCTCCCAATCTGTGGCTCGAATTTTAATCCTCCTAACAAACTCTTTTGAAGAGTTGACATTACTTTTGATGAAATCCAATTGACTCATTTTTTTTCTTTTATAGATCAGGCTTATGGTGTCATATAAGAAATATTTTCCTAAGATAAGGTCATGTAGATATTCTCCTGTATTTTTTTCCAGAGTTTTATAACCTCAAATTTTGCTTTGAGGTCTACAATACATTTTGAGCTAATTTTTTTTTGCATATAGTATATAGTAGGAGGTGTGGATTAAAGTTTTTTTTTTGCCTTTGGATTGCCATATAAAACGTATTCTAGCACTATTTGCTACAAAAGCCTGTCCTTTGTCCACTGATATGCCTTTGCACCTTTGTTGGAAAGCAATTGGTCACATATGTATGGGTCTATTCTTAGACTCTCTATTTTCTCCTATTGATCTGTTTGTCTATCTTTGCACCAATACCATACTGTCTTCATTATTATAGATTTATAATAAGTCTTGAAATCAGGTGGTATTAGTCCTTCAGATACATTTTTATTTCAAAGTTATTTTTGCAATTCTAGATTCTTTGCATTTCTACATGAATTTTAGAATAAATTTGTCAATTTATACAAATAATGCTGAAATTGGGATTACATCATTTGTACATTTTTAGATCCATTTTGGGAAAATTGTTATTTTAACAATAGTGAGTCTTCTGACCCATAAACACAATATATATCTCCTTTTATTTAGAGTTCATTACTTTCTCTCAGCAATGTTTTGTAGTTTTCAGTGAATAGATCTTTCACATCTTCTGTCAGATTTATATCTGTTTTATATCTTTTAATGTTCATTGCTAATATATAGAAATACAACTGATTTTTGTATGTTGATGTTATATCCTACAACCTTGCTAAACTCAGTTAGTAGTTCCAGTAGCTTTTTCTGTAGATTGTATAGTATTTTGGACATACTACATCATATTATCTGTGAATAAAGGCAGTAGTTTTATTTCTTCTTTTCCAATATGGAGGTCTTTTATTTTATTGTTAATGTTTTTCCCAATTGCAGAGGGTGAAATTTCCAGTAAAATGCTCAGTACAAGTGATCAGACCAAGCATCCTTCTCTTGTTCCTCATATTAGTGAGAAAGCTTGTTTTTTAAAAAACACGGATTTTGAACAATTACATTACTATGTGTCAAATTTTCTTGATATTTCTCATGCTTGGAGTTTGTTGATTTCTGCATTTTGATTTTTCCTCAAATTTAGAAAAATTTTGGGCATGGTGAGGTGGCTCACGGCTATAATCCTAGCACTTTGGGAGGCTGAGGCAGGAGGATTCTTGAGCTCAGGATTTTGGGACCAGCCTGGGCAACTTAGTGAGACCCCATCTCTACAAAAATAAAAATAAAATTAGTTGGGCATGGTGGCACATGCCTGTATTCCCCGCTACTTGGAAAGCTGAGGCAGGAGGAGCACCTGAGCCTGGGTTGTCAAAGCTGCAGTGAGCCATGATTGTGCCACTGCATTCTAGCCTGGGCTACAGAGCAAGACCCTGTCTCAAAAAAAAAAAAAAAGAAAAAGAAAAAGAAGGAAGGAAGGCCAGTCTCAGTGGCTCACATCTGTAATCCAAGCACTTTGGGAGGCTGAGGTGGGTGGATCACTTGATGTAAGGAGTTCAAGACCAGCCTGGCCCACATGATGAAATGCCATCTCTACTACAAATACAAAAAAAATTAGCCAGCTGTGGTGGCATGCACCTGTAGTTCCAGCTTCTTGGGAGGCTGAGGCAGGAGAATCACTTGAACCCAGGAGGCAGAGGTTGCAGTCAGCCCAGAGTGCATCACTGCACTCCAGTGTAGGTGACAGAGTGAGACTCTGTCTCAAAGAAAAAAGGAAAAGGAAGGAAGGAAGGAGAAAGAAAGAGAGAAAGAAAGAAAGAAAGAAGAAATTTTGGCCATTATTTCTTTAAATATTTTTTCTCTCTTTTCCCTCCTTGAGGACTACAATTTTAGGGCATTGGAGTTGTTGCATAGTTAATTGATGCTCTGTTCCTTTAAAAAAATTGTATTGTAGTAAAATATATGTAACATAAATTTTTCATTTCAATCATTTTTAAATATACAACCCAGTGGCATTAATTACATTCACAATTTTGTGCAACCATTACAAATATCTATTTTCAAAACTTTTCATCACTCCAAACATTATTAAGCAATAACTCCTCTTTCCTCCTCTCCTCAGACCCTGGTGTCATAGTCCAGTCTCATGCTGCTATAAAGAAATACCTGGGACTGGGTAATTTGTAAAGGAAAGAGATTTAATTGACTCACAGTTCCACAGGGCTGGGGAAGCCTCAGGAAACTTACAATCGTAGCAGAAGGGGAAGCAAACAGCAAACATGTCCTTCTTCACGTGGTGGCAGGAGAGAGAATAAGAGCTGAGCAACGGGGGAAGCCCTTTATAAAACCATCAGATCTCGTGAGAACTTACGCACTATCATGAGAATAGTATGGGGGAAAATCACCCTCCCATGATTCAATTACCTTCCACTGGGTCCCTCCACCACACATGGGGACTATGGGAACTACAGTTCACGATGAGATTTGGGTGGGGACACAGCCAAACCATATCACCCTGATAAGCTCTAATATACTTTCTATCTCTGTGAATTTGCCTCTTCGAGACATTTCTTTTAAACAGATTCAAACAATATTTGTACTTTTGTGTCTGGCTTTCTTTCACTTAGCATAATATTTTCAAGAATCATTCATGTTGTAGCATAGATCAGAACCTCATTCCTTTTTACGGCTGATACTGCATTATATCATGGCTGGTAATCCATTTATTTGTTGATGAGCACTTGAGTTGTTTTAATCTTTTGGCTATTGTTAATAATGTTGTAGTGAACATTGGTACACAGGTATCTGTGTCCCCATCTTAAATTCTTTTGGTTATATACCCGACAGTGGAATTGCTGGCTCACTTGCTAAGTTAAATCTATGCTTACCTTTTTGAGGAATTGGCACACTGCTTTTCACAGTGGCTGCACCATTTTATATTTTTACTAGCCATGTGCAAGTGTTCCAATTTCACCACATCCTAGCCAACCCTTACTGTTCTCTCTCTTTCTCTCTCTCTCTCTCTCTCTCTGTGTGTTTGTTGATTATAACCATCCTAATAGGTGTGCAGTAGCATCTCATTGTTGTCTTGATTTCGTTTCCCTAATGACTAGTGATGCTGAGCATCTTTTTATGTGCTTATTGGTCATTTGTATATCTTGTCTGGAGACTTGTCTATTGAAGTCCTGGCCATCTTTTTACTGAGTTGTTTATCTTTTTGATGTTGAGTTGTAGTTCTTTATATATTCTGTATATTAAATCCTTATGTGATATATGATTTGCAAATGCTTTCTTATTCTGTAGGTTTTCTTTTCACTTTCTTGATAATGTCCTTTAATACATAAAAGTTTTCAATTTTGAGGAAGTCCAAATTTTGCTTGTGCTTTTGATGTCATGAAGTTTTTCAGTCTGACTGGTGAGAACAGGCACTATCCTGGCACTTTGTGACTTGCAGACATGTTTACCTCTAATCTTTTCAAGTGGTTTTTTCCTACACAACCGTGCTGGTCAGCACTCAGCTGAAGACTCAGGGGAACCCTCTACCGATCTCTGTCTCCCAGAACTCTCTCTTTGTGCAGCTGCCTCCTCTCCAGTACTATCTCCTGCGAATTCTAGCTGTCTTTGTCTTCCCAGAGTCTCAGTTCTTTCTCCTCAACTCGGGGAACCTGCAGGGCTCTGCCTGGGTTTCCCCTGCCTGTACTACATTCTGCATTAAGGTAGGGAAATGGTGGGGCTCACCTTGTTTGTTTCCTGTCCTTCAGTGATCATTTTCCTCTGCTGCCTGAAGTCCAGTGTCTTGAAAGCAGTTGTTTTATATATTTGGTCTGGTTTTTGTTTCATGTGGAAGTGTAAATATAGTGTGTACTTTATTTTCAGGTGCTCTTCATATATTCAGGATATCAATTTTCTGCTTGTTTTACTTTGGTCTTCATTTCTGAAATGATTTTTTCCTTGTATTTATAATTTTTTTCTTGAGTTATCTAACCTGTCGTCAAATCTTTCTTTTCTTTAATCACTTCCTTTTATAGTTTTTCAAATTCTGATTTATAGATTATTTGTTCATAGATGCTATCATTTTCTTAATTTTTTTAGCTTATGTTGAAATATTAGATTACAGTTTCCATCTGTCTTACAGGCCTCTTTCTGGAGTGGTTTTGTGATCTGTAGTGCTATTTTTCTGCTCTTTATCCTTTTTTTAAATAATAACTTTGAATTTTTTTTTTTTGAGATGGAGTATCACTCTGTTGCCCAGGCTGGGGCACAATGGCATGATCGCAGCTCACTGCAACCTCTACCTCCCAGGTTCAAGCGATTTTCCTGCTTCAGTCCCCCAGTGGCTGGGACTACAGGCACCCATCTGTGCCTGATTTTTAAGTGAAATAAGTTTTCTTATAAATTCAAGAAGGAAGGCTGGGTCAGACATTATTTCTTACTTTGTGGCTTTAGAGTTCCCTTTTTTGTTTTCACAATGTGACTATATCTCTGTTTCTTCTATCTATCTATCTCATTATCATTATTATTTATCATCTACCTAATATCTATCATCCATCCATCATCTATCTACTATATACCTATCTATCTATCTATCCATCCATCTATCTCCTCATATTTTCTGAGTCTGCCTCTCTTTTCCACCCTTGTCCAGACAAATTATTTCCTAGCTACTCCTCATTTTGGATTCTACTGCTAGCAATTTATGCTCAGTAAAGGGCTTTGTCCTGGGAGGAGCCTTAGGTTATTAGTATAGGAATTTCCGGGGGCTTAGACAACTCCAGCATCTTCAGATCCTACTAAGGTCTGCTTACACTCACCTATGAATTGTGGCCTTCAGCTGCATTTTCTCGTTAATATCTGCTGCAAATTTTTGAGTTCTTCAGCTCTTGGGTCTTCAGACCCAAGAGCCTTTCTTCTGCTTCCTCTTACTCAGACATTGACGTCAAATGGGTCTTGTCACCTAGATTTGTTGCAGATGTTGTCTGTGAGTCTTTAGTTTTGTCTTTCTAGCTGCTCTGTTTCTGTGGGGGGAATTCAGGGAGATTAGAATGTTTTGCTGCTGCAACTGCTATCCTCACCACAATTATTGTTTTTGTATTGATCTTCCTCACCAGCCCTCCAGCATTCACATTCACACATGTGCCGACCAGCCAATTATCTCCCATCCTTTGATGTCCTTCCTTCCCTACTTCTCTCCATTGTAGTCTCCTGCTTATGTTGCATTGCCTCCAGGAAGCCTTCCGTGATACCCCAAGTGAGGTCAGTGGCTTCATCTTTTGTGTCCTCGCAGCAGGCTGAATGTCCCTATCTTACAGGTCATTTCATGCCACTGACTTTCCCACTTGTCTCCCCTGTTGGACTGTCAGTATCTCAAAGCAAGAACCTTGTCCATTCCTCCTGTCCTGAGTGCCTGGCCCAGGACTCAGCTCAGAGTAGACACTTTGAAAAGTATCTAATCATTATGCATGATTATATTATACTGGATGCTGTTAGTCCATCTCAGAGCTAGTTAGTGGCAGGATTAACATGACTGTTCCCTTATATGTAAAGTGCGCTGTAGTTGACAAGCAGCTTTGCACATACCATAGCCCCTCTCTCTAAGTCTGGTGCACTTGCAGTCGCTATTTTTGCTCATTCATTTGTCTGTTTGTTTATGTAGTCTGTCTCCATCCATCACACTGTGAGCTTACCAAGTACAGAGACCAAGTCTCCTTCATGTCAATAGTAAGCCCAGTGCCTGGCGCCGAATAGGGACCAGGAAGGGCCTGTTGTATGAACGAATGAAAGCCATTCCTGCATTCCTGCTGGTCCTAAGCTGGGGCTGTTCCATTCTTTTCACTGGGTCCTGAGGTCCCTGACTGGAAGTCCGCATGAGGTACCACAGCTTCCCTGGGACTCCCCCGAACCCAGTGGTAAGAGAAGCTCACAGTGTCTCTGGCCCTGTCTCCCCAGCCTTTGAGCTTCTGATTGGAGGCATTGAAGTCGGCCTGTCCCACTTCCCCTTCTTTGCCTGCCTCTCGTCGGAATTCCAGCTGGTCAGCTCCATCTTGGGCTTCTGCTACTCTGATCTGGTAAGACGGTCTCTGCCTGCCCCCACTCCCCCAACTCCTTGAGTGTGACTGAACTCTGGGCGCAGGGCTGGAGGTGATCTGGGAGCTCCCCTTGGAGGATACCTTTGCCCAGAACTGAGGCCCAGGGAGGGCAGGAGTGACTTGTCCAAGGTCCCATTGTGGGGACTGCATTAGAGGCTTCAGAAGGCCAGGCTGGCATTCTATCTGCTTCACACAAGGCTGCTTGTCATTAGAATGTTTCTAGAAGTCAGGGATTTTGGATAACTCATTTCTGTTTTTTTTTTTTCAAATAAATTATAATTTTATTTTATTTATTTCTATTTCAATAGCTTTTGGGGTACAAGTGGTTTTTGATTACAAGGATGAATTGTATCACAGTGAAGTCTGAGATTTTAGTGCACCTGTCAGCCTAGTAGTGGACACTGTACCTGATCTGTGGCTTTTTATCCTTATTCCTGCTCCCACCCTTCCCCCTTCTGAGTCTCCAGCGTCCATGATATCACTCTGTATGCTTTTGTGCACCCACAGCTCAGCTCCTACTTAGAAGTAAGAATATGGTATTTCGTTTTCCATTCCTGAGGAAAACTCATTTCTGTAAACTGCTGGGGGCCCCACTGGAAGACTCAGGAGCCCTTTTCAAGGCTTTTCATCGGTGCTGCCATGGCTTCTCTCGGGAGCCTTGGAGAAAGTTCCCGTGCCTTAGCTGGGCATTCAGGGCCATCACAGTCTGGCCTCTCCTTTTCCCTCCATCCCCCAACAATGTCTGGCATACAACTCCACCCATACAAGACTCCTCCATTCCTTCATCCATCCACTTATTCATTCAACAACCATTGCATCCCTACTACGAGCCAGGAAATACACTGGAGAACAAGACAGACTTGCATGGACCAGGTGTTCTGGCCTCTTTGTCTGTATGTCCCCATTCCCTGTGTGGGTCATGTCTAGAGATAAGTATACACTCCTGCTACAAGGACAATCACTCCCACCAGATGAAAGCTTCTTGATCTTCATGTTGAGCTCTGTGCCCTCAGTGCCAGGCACCAGACTTAGCACAGAGCTGGCACCAGAGAACAGTTGTTGACTGAAAACCCCTCCAACAAGTCTACTCTCCAGCTGCGGAGACTCATTTCCTTGTTCCCAACTCCTTTGCTGGGCTCTTTCCCCCAACCAGCATTTTCTGTGAGGCTGGGATTCTCCCACTTAGTCAGAGATGATGGGCAGGGGCCTCACAAGCAACTGATACACCAGTGGCTACAATCATAAAGTTTGTAAGTGATCTGCTTTATAGAAATTTAAATAGAGGGTATCCAGGGTTAGATGTGGCATAACATCATCTCATCAGCCTCTGACAGACGTTTGCCCAGGAGAGAACATGGTGGTGGGAATCGATCAGCACCTTGGGCACCATGGGAGTATGGCCCAAGCTGGAACAGAACCAGGAATGCATGTGGGGGGTGGGGTGGGGTAAAGCATCAAGGCTCATGACTTCTGAGCAGAGTCTACAAACAGGTCACATAGAGGCAGGAAGATCCTTAGCCATGGAGTCAGGAGACCTGAGTCTGCCCATGCCCATGTGTGACTTGGATAAATCCCTTGCCAACCCTGGACTTCCAGCTCCCACCTGAATGGTGAGGGGAGGGAGGATGAGCTCTCTAAGGGCCTCCTGCTCTGCCGTCACGGATTCCAAGACTATGTCCTCCATGAGGGCAGGTGAATGAATGAATTTAGTGTGTGCCTACTTTGGCACAAGCAGGGTGACCGACTGGGGAGAGATGTCCATGGAGGCCCGGGAATCAGCCCTCCCAAGGGGGACAGGTAGGTGTGGGTGGGTGGGATCTGAGCCATTTTCACGGGGGCTGCTCCTGGGGCTGTGCTGGGAGGGAACCCCAAGGCCCCAAACTCTGTTTCTATTCCTGCAGGTTTGCTGTCACCATTATTCAAGTTTCACAGTGTCCCCACGGGCAGGTAAGTCTCTATTGGCCTTTTTTGGGGTTTTCAGTCCTATCACCATGGTCAAGTTGCTGTGTGATCTTGAACAAGCCTCTGTCACTACTGGGGCTCCACTTTTTCATTTGCATAAAAAGGTAGTTGTTGTCGTTCGTGATGCTTCCATTTGTAGAGCACCCCATGTTCATCAAGGTGTGCATTCACAGACAGGTGTTTTCTCATTTACTCCTCAGAAGTAAAGCTTCTGTTCCATTGGCCTGTGTGTCTGTTTTTGTACCAGGGCCATGCTGCTTTGGTCACTGTAGCCTTGTAGATGGTTTAAGTCAGGTAGTGTGATGCCATCAGCTTCATTCTTTTTGCATAGGATTGCTTTGGCTGTCTTCCACATAGCTAGTCAATCACAAGTTGTGCTAATGTGTTCTGCCGTTTCTCAAACCTGTCTCTCCTCTCAATTCTTACTACCACCCTGGTTTTCAGACCATCAACATCTCTCACCTAAGCTGTGTAGTAGCCTCCTAACTGATCCCTGACACTTCAGTGTTGCCCCTCTGCCCTCACCACTGAAACACAGACTACCTAAAACAAAATTATCCTGAGACTTCCCTTCTTAAAATCCTTTTTTGACTCCTATTTCCTATTAAATAATGTCTATACTTCTTAATGTAATGGACAGGCATCTCCTGTTCCTCTCTGCTCTACCTTTGTTACCTATTTGTAGTAATAGGTAAATGTTTATAATTTCCCCTGAAGTCCCTCTGCTATTCAGTGCTTCCATGTATTTGTTCATTATGATCTTTTTCTCTGAAACTCCCTCACCACTTTTCCTCCTGGTTAATTATTTACTGTCCTTCAAGCCTAAGCTCAAGCATCATCTTTTTCAGAAAACCTACTTTGAAGTTCCAGAGTGGACCAATGGCCCCTTTTAATGCTCCCCATAGTCATCGTGCTGATCTCTATCTTTTCACTTTAAACATGCTTTTAAACCTACTTCCTGAGTATAAAGTTTGTTATAATTTTAATATTTGTATTTTTCTATGTCTTGTTCTTCTCTTTATGGTTTCTGTTGACTCCTGCTTATGGTAGTTTGACACTTCAACTCTTTGTTAAATTTTATAAATAGCTCATATTTGTCTAAACTTTAACTTTGGGTTTCCTGAGAGACCGAAATTGAGATGATTTGCTTGGTTTCTGCTTGGCTCTGGAAGCAGGACCAATCAGGAACCATTCTAGTTAGATTTATTGGTTTGAGTTTTCTTGGACTATGAGTATGGTGTAAATTCAAATTCCAGCATAAAAGTAAAGCTGGTTAGAAAACATTAGGGAAGACTATTAAAATTATTAATGTTTTACAACCCACCGCCTGCAGAGACTGATTTGCTTATTGGTTCACTTGTCATATCCTTCCAGCTTTGTCTTTTCCACTAAATATGTAGCCCATTTTGGTGCCTGGATTTATGTGGAGGTCTCAGATTCAGTTTCCTACCTTATCAGGTTCAAATCCTGTTAGTCAGTTAACCAGAAAAATTCTAGATTCCCAGGAATGTGTCAGAGCATTTCAGTGTCCCCTATTGACATCTCATTCCCAGCTCTTTAAAAAAGAAAGTATTTTTATTTTCCTATTGATTGCCCCAATTCCTATGTACTACCTCAGGCAGCCGCAATATTAACTAACAAAGCTCTAGGTTTTTGGTTTTGGCACACTTCCAGGGCATCTCTGGCTTCTGTGTTGACTGATGACTTTAGTTTCACCTCTAGATTGTTTGCGTGCATGCGTGTGTGTGTGTGTAATCATTTTGTACTTCCTCTACATTTTTGTGAGTTCAGAAATGTATTTAAAAGCGTATTTGGGGTCGGGCGCAGTGGCTCACACCTGTGATCCCAGCACTTTGGGAGGCTGATGCGGGAGGATCACCTGAGTTCAGGAGTTCGAGACCTGCCTGGCCAACATGGCAAAACCCCATCTCTACTAAAAATACAAAAGTTAGCTGGGCATGGTGGCGTGGACCTATAATCCCAGCTACTAGGGAGACTGAAGCAGGAGAATTGCTTGAACTTGGGAGGCGGAGGTTGCAGTGAGCCAAGACCACACCATTGCACTCCAGCCTGGACAACAGAGCGAGACTCTATCTCAAAAAAAAAAAAAAAAAAAAAAAAAGTGTATTTGGAAGTGATGTCAGTAAAAATGGCAAGCTAGGAACCTTCTAAAATTCCTGTCTTCATAAAAGCAACTCAGAAAAATAGAAGCAACTTTTTCAGAACTCCGGAAAATATCCAAAGGTTTGCTGTAATCTCGGAGCATTTATTCAAGAACATAGGCTGAATTTTGGTTAGAATAGTGAGATTTGTAATGTTCTTATTTGCTCTATGCTCATCACATCCTCCCAGCTACATGGTAGCCTTGAAAACCAACATCCTACAATCTTGGTGAAAAACAAGCTCCTGGGAGCCATAGAAAGAAACAAAAGAGGTTTGGGACTCATTCCTTTTTTTTCCTCTCCCTCCCACTGTCAGACAGCATGGGCTGTACCGTGCATTCCCTCCTCTGGAGAAATGATGGTAGGTTTCCACATCTGTGTAGCATCTCCCGCTCTGGAGATCACCCTGAGCCCTTGCATCTCCCACCAGGTAAGCCAAGCCCAGTCCAGGCCTGGCTGTGAGCCTGGGCCTGGCACTCAATTTTCCTGAGTCATTATTTACACAACAGAAATAATGAAAGTGTCTACCATGAAGGGATGCTGTGAGGACTAAATGAGCTGTATACATAAAAGGCCTGGCCCAGAATGAGCACTCAGAGATGGTGGATGTAGTTTTTTGTGCGAATAAAGTGTTCAGACAGGTTCCGCAAGCTTCATCTGCGTAAAGTTTTAACATGATCTCTGGATGCTTGTCAGATAATTGTCTAGATTAATCACTTGAAAAGCATTACACACACACACACACACATACACTGTTTTGTGATCTGCTTTTTTCAACAAAACAAAATACTGGAACAAAATTTCATGTTTCAATTCTTCATCTAGATCATAATTGTAAATAGCTAATTGTGTGGTGATACGCAGTGATATTTAATCAGTCCCGTATTCTGAAACATTGAGGTGGTTTTCCACTTGTCATTGTTTGAAAAACTTCATGCCAAATGTATTTACGATATTATTCCCCTTATAATATTATTCCCTTGCCAGATTTTCTAGAATACATTTCTAGAAATGAAATTACTGATTTGAAGAATATGCATGTTTTTAAGGTTTTGATTTCTGTTACCACTAGAACTTTGCTAAAATAATTTTACTGAGAAAGTGATGTGGTACATTTTTGTATGAGAGCCATGTTTTTTATTTTTTAAAAATTGCAGCAAAATACACTGAAGAGTGCAGTTCAGTGGCATTAGACATTTATGTTGCTCTGTTACCATTACCACTGCCCATCCTCACACTCTTTTCATCTTGCAAAGCTGAGACTTCTTATTTTTAACCTCTAAGTTTTATAAAATTAAATAGATTAAATAATATTTAGGGTTGGTGTGAGTGTGGAGAAGTGGGTCCCCTCATTTACTGGTAAGTTGATGTAATTTTGTTGATCAAAAAATTGGGAATATTTATGCTTTGTAAAAAAGTACATACTGTTTGCCTCAATGAATCCACTTATAGTCTACAAAAGTAGTCACACAAGCATGGATATTATAGTCACATATTCAAAGATTTTTCTGTAGCATAATTTATAATATAAAACAACTGAAAAGAATCTATAAGTTTATCTATAATGAGATTTTAAGTTACGGTTACATGTGATGGTTAAGCAGAATGAGTTGTATCTGTGTGTATAGTTGTATCTGTGTGTAATGAAAAGGTGTGCAGGATAACTGTAAGTACAAAAAAACAAACTTCAGAACAATGTTTATAGTATGATCCTATTAAAAAACCACAATAATAATACATTACTTGGCAAAATTCTCCTTCATAAATAAGGGAGGGATAAAGACTTCTTCACACAAACAGAGGGAGGAAGTCCATTAACACTAGACTTGCCTTACAAGAAATACTAAAAGGAGTTCTTCAAACTGAAAATGAAAGGCTGCTAATTAATCATATGAAAACATATGAAAGTATAAAATTCACTGGTAAAGGTACATATATAGTCAAAAGTATTAAGAATAACTTCATAATAACTCATTAAGTGATACACAACATAAAAGATGTAAAGTGTGATATCAAAAACAGAATGTGTATGTGTGTGTGCAGAGCTTTTATACAGGATCAAAGTTAAGTTGTTGTTAGCTTAAAATGGACTAGTATAACTATAAGATGTTTTAATATGCCTCATAGCAATCATGAAGCAAAAACTTAGCAGATACGCTAAGATGAAGAGAAAGGAATCAAAGCATACCACAACTGAAAATCCTCGAATCACAAATAAAGACAGCAAGAGAGGAAAAAAATAGTAAAAGAGCTGCAAAGCAACCAGAAAACAATCAACAAAATGACAATAATCAATCCTTCTCTATCAATAATTACTTTAAATGTAAATGAACTAAATTTGCTGATCAAAAGACACAGGGTGGCTTTATGGATTTAAAAAATACAAAAACAAGGCCAGGCCTGGTGGCTCATACCTGTAATCCCAGCACTTTGGGAGGCAGATGTGGGTGGACTGCTTGAGGCTGGGAGTTCGAGACCAGCCTGGCCGACATGGCAAAACCCCGTCTCTACTAAAAATACAAAAATTAGCTGGGTGTGGTGGCAAATGCCTGTGGTTGCAGCTACTAGGGGGGCTGAGGCAGGAGAATTGCTTGAACCTGTGAGGCAGAGTTGCAGTGAGTCGAGATTGCGCCACTGCACTCTAGTCTGGGAGACAGAGTGAGACTGAGTCTCAAAAAAAAGAGAAAAGAAAAAACAAGACCCAACTATATGTTGCTACAAGAGACTCACTTCACCTTTAAAGCTACACACAGACTGAAAGGGAAGGGACGAGAAAAGATATTCCATGCAAATGGAAAGCAAAGAGCACAGGGGTAGTTATACTAGACAAACTAGGCTTTAAGTCAAAAACTAACAGGACAAAGATGGTTATTATATAATGATAGAGGAGTCAATTCATAAAGAGGATAGAACAGTTGTAAATAATATGCACCCAACATCGGGTACACTTAAATATATAAGGCAAATATTCACAGATCTAAAGGGAGGAATAGACGGCAATACAATAATAGCAAGGGACTTTAATACTCCACTTTCAACAATGGATAGATCATTCAGACAGGAAAACAGTAAGAAAACATTAGACTTGAACTAAACTTTAAACCAAATGGACTTAACAGACATAAAGAGAACATTCCATCCAATAACAACAGAATGCACATCTTCTCAAGCACACATGGAACATTCTCCAGGACAGAGCAAATGTTGGGCCACAAAGCAAATCTTAATAAATTTGAGAAGATATAGATCATATCAAGTTTCTTTTGGGACCACAATGGTATGAAACTGGAAATCAATAATGGGAGAAAAACGGGAAAGTTCACAGATACATGGAAATTAAACAACATGCTTCTAAGCAATCAATGGGTAAAAGAAGAAATCAAAGGGGAAAATGAAACATTTTGAGACAAAGAAAAATGGAAACAAAACATACCAAAACCTATGGGATGCAGCAAAAGCAGTTCTAAGAGGGAAATTTATAGCAAGAAAAGCCTGCATTAAAAAAGAAGAGGCCAGCCATGGTGGCTCACACCTGTAATCCTAGCACTTTGGGAGGCCAAGGTGGGTGGATCACTAAAGCCCAACAGTTTGAGACCAGCCTGGGCAACATACGGGATCCCTATCTCCACACACACACAAAAATAATAAAACATAAAATTAGCTGGGTGTTGTGGTACGAGCCTGTCATCCTAGTTACTCGGGAGGCTGAGGTGGGAGGATCACTTGAGCCTGGGAGGTCAGGGCTGCAGTAAGCCGAGATTGTGTCTCTGCACTCCAGCCTGGGCAGCAGAGCGAGACCCTGTCTCAAAAAAAAAGGGATTTGGACTTGATGGTTCTGTGGTAAACAAAAGAAGTGAGGTGATGGATAGGTTAATCAGCTTGATTTAATCATCCCATATTTGGTGTGTGTGTGTGTGTGTGTGTGTGTGTGTGTGTGTGTATATACACACACATCACATTGTACCCCATAAATGTTTATGATTTGTCAATCAAAAATAAAGAAAAGCAAGTTGAAAGAGCATTGAGAGAAAAGTTAGGCATTCAAAATGCAGTATCTCCCTGAACTGTAGTTTCTTATTTGTATAAAACACAACAAAACAAAAAATCATGTTGCATATCCTAAATATATATAATTTTTATTTGTCAGTCATACTTGAATGAAGCTGGGAGGGTGCGGAGCTGGGTTGGCGCTGCCTGGGGAGGAAGAGCCGTGGGCGGGATTGGTCTAGGCGGAGGCCTAGGCCCAGCCTGCGGTGGTGGGTCTTGCCGCGCCGGGGCTGCTTCCCGCCCTCCCCTCTGCTCCGGTTTCGCCCACTTCCCCTTGCCAGCGGGCTAGGCACGGAGGAGACCTGCCGGAGCCACGGAGGATGAGGTGGCCCGCAGTGCTAAGAAGATGGACGAGATAGTGCAGGAGAAGAACACGGCCGGAGCACTGGGTTTGTTAACCGAGCTTCAGAATGTTCTGGAATTACTGCGGTCCACAGGAACTGGAATGTTACTTAATGTTAGTCTCAAGCAGAGTACAGATGAAGAAGTTACATCTCTAGCAAAGTCTTTCGTCAAATCCTGGAAAACGTTACCAGATGAGCCATCAACTGAGAAAGACCCCAACGAAAAGCGAATAGAACCTGCAATGACATCACAGAATAGCAAAAGAAAGTAGCTCCAGCGGCAACGTAAGCAGCAGAAAGGATAAAACAAATGCTTGAGATATTTGTTTCATCTGTTCCTCGGCACGAAGCGCTTCTAATTCTGTGCGGATGAAGTACAGGGAGATGCTTGCTGCAGCTCTTCGAACAGGAGATGACTGCATTGAAATGGGAGCTGATGAGGAAGAATTAGGATCTCGAATTGAGGAAGCTGTAGATCCAGAAAGAGGGAATACAGGCATGAAGTACAAAAATAGAGTCCAAAGTAAGATATCAAATCTTACAGATGCAAAGAATCCAAATTTAAGGAAAAATGCATCGTGTGGGAATATTCCTCCTGACTTACTTGCTAGAATGTCCGCAGAAGAAATGGCTAGCGATGAGCTCAAAGAGATGCACAAAAACTTGACGAAAGAAGCCATCAGAGAGCATCAGATGGCCAAGACAGGTGGAACCCAGCCTGATTCGCTCACATGTGGCAAATGTAAAAAGAATTGCACTTCCACACAGGTACAAGCCTGCAGTGTTGGTGAACCAATGGCAACGTTTGTTGACTGTAATGAATGTGGAAATCAACAGAAGTTCTGTTGAGATGGAAAAATTGGCAAAATATCTGGACCACTAAGAAAACGGATTTTGTAATTAGCTTAAACCTAGGACAAGCAACTAGTTTTCCTGCAAATCAGATTTTTAGAGCAACATACATCCCGCGGGTTAGGCTTTGTTTTTGACCCAGCATCCCTTCCTTAAGTGTCTTCTGTAGTTCCTGATCAGTAGGGAGACCACAGGATAATTGTATGGGATCTGTTTTAAAACGTTTTTTTTTTTTTCATTTTTATAAATAAGTCGATATTAAACTTTTATAAATTAAACTTCTTGCAGTTTATTTTTTTTCTTTCTTAAAGGAAAATACACCTTAATTTTTTTTTTTTTTTTTTTTTGAGACAGAGTCTCACTCTGTCACCAGGCTGGAGTGCAGTGGCGCAGCTCACTGCAACCTCCACCTTCCAGGTTCAAGCTATTCTCCTGCTTCAGCCTCCCGAGTATCTGGGACTACAGGTGCACACCACCACACCAGCTAATTTTTGTATTTTTAGTAGAGACAGTGTTTTACCATGTTGGCCAGGATGGTCTCGATCTCTTGATCTTGTGATCCGCCTGCCTTGGCCTCCCAAAGTGCTGGGATTACAGGTGTGCGCCACCACGCCTGGCCTTTTATTTATTTATTTATGTATTTATTGAAATGGAGTCTCACTCTGTTGCCCAGGCTGGAGTGCAGTGGCACAATCTCGGCTCACCATAACCTCTGCCTCCTGGGTTCAAGGGATTCTTCTGCCTCAGCCTCCTGAGTAGCTAGGTCTACAGGTGTGCACCACCATGTCCTGCTAATTTTTGAATTTTAAGAAGAGACAGTGTTTCACTATGTTGGCCAGGCTGGTCTCTAACTCCTGACCTTGTGATCCACCCACGTCAGCCTCCCACAGTCCTGGGATTACAGGCATGAGCCACTGTGCCCAGCCAACTTTTTTTTAACAGTGTGAAATATACACAGTAGAAATTCTGTTATTCTCTGTTATTAGTACATAAATGGAAATACTTTTTTTCCCATATTGGCATGTATCTACAAATATTAAAGGAGGAGAAAAGGTAATATACTTTTAGGTTTACCACATATGGTGTGTATTCAAATAACACGTGACCAGCTTATCAAAATTGTACATAATACTTGAACTAACTTATTAATTTGATTTTCATTATTATGTCCAAAAGCTTGGGATGCTAGATACTACTTTGCATCTGTAACTAACTATGATCCTCATTTCTTGTAATTTCTTGTGCTTGTATATTGCTTGTTCTTAATAGATTTTACTTTGGAAACAAGACTTTGTTGAGATCAGTTTGGTTTTGTTGATAATTTACCTGTTTGACTTCATAATGTATTTTAGTTTCGCAGAAGAACACTTGTAGATTAGAAGGCTTTTCATAAATCCCCTCACAGGCGAAGAGGAAAACTTCCCGCTATTTTATTTCCCTCATAGGAAGACATACTGGAAAGAAAACGCTTAGCATCTTAGTATAGAATAGCTATTGTGAACAGTTCATGACTTGATCTTGATATGGAAATCTGTACTGACCAGTGATTAAGCTTAAGGATTGTAAAAATCATTAAAGCTGTGGTCTTTTCGTGTGGAGGTTGATAGAAAATATTTTTGTCCTAAGTCTTATTTGCTGACTTTTTCTGTCAATGAAGGAGGTTGTTGAACAAACTGAATCTGTGGGCTATAGCAAGTAGCTTTACAGCAGATCTTACCATGAAGTTTTACTTTGTGCTTATTTAAGTGGGTACCACTTTTTCTGTTTAGAATAATTAAAAAATGATTTTCACAGGTTCCTTGGGGTACGCTTGCTCTAGCACAGCTTGAAGGCCGCTGTTGCAAAGTACATTTTATCATGCTGAATCAGCCTTCTATCACGTACCTGTAGAAAGACCTCAGTACATGCTTTGCACCCTCCTTTGCACCCCCTTTCAATTTCTTATTGCAGATCATTTTGATGTAATATGGAAAACAGCATTTTAAAATGTCCACGTTAAGAATTGGCCCACCGGTGCCAACTCACCTCTATTTTGTTAGTTCATAGTTGAAGATTTTGTTTTATCGTTTTCAAAAATAAAGTATATTTTTGGAAGAATGAATTTAAGAATGAAGAAAAGCTATGAAAAATGCTGCAAATTACCATATATGTGTATTTTGATATGCAGATGTAGCAATATGCATAGAGAGAGTCTAGTAAAGTGGTCTTCAACTCAGGGAGATTTCAGACCAGGGGACATTTGGCAATGTCAATAGACATTTTTGATTTTCATGCCTGGGTGAATAGGCCAGGGATGCTGATAAACAACTCGTAACAAAGAATTAACTGGCTTCAAAATCAATAGGACTGAGGCTGAGAAGCCCTGGCTGGAAATTGCTATAAGAATATTGGGAATGATCTCTAGCATTGATAGGGACATTAGGATGCTGTGTAGGGAACAATTTTTTAATTTTTAAAATTATTTATTATTTATTTATTTTTAAAATTTGAGACAGGGTCTCACTGTGTTGCTCAGGCTGGAGTGTAGTGGTGCGATCTCGACTCATTGCATCCTCTGCCTCCCGGGCTCAAGCAATCCTCCTGCCTCAGCCTCCTGAGTAGCTGGTACTATAGGCGTACATCACCACATCTGGCTAATTTTTGTTGCCTGAGGCTCCCACAGCGCTGGGATTACGGGAATGAGTTGCTGTGTCAGGCCTTTTTGTCGTAATTTAAACAAAGTACTTTTTTTCAACAGGTAAATTGCTGGTTCCATACCTCTTCAAAAAAATATAACAAATGAAAGGTTTGAAAACATCTGGGTCACTTCTCCACCCTCACCCCTATAATATGCTTTGTTGGTTTCTTTATTCACCCTTCCAGATATATTTATGCATACCAAACCAAGTAGAAATACAGCTTCTTATTCTCTCTTTTTCTTTCCCACCATAAGGTACATATTATATTTGGTTTAGCACTTTTTTTCTTTAACAATATGCCTTACACTGTTGTATTGACAGTTGTATTGAAGTCATTTTACAATCATATATATATATATATATATTTTGAGACAGAGTCTCACTCTGTTCCTTAGGCTGGAGTGTAGTGGAGCAACATTGACTCACTGTAACCTGTGTCCCCCGGGTTCAAGTGATTCTTCTGCCTCAGCCTCTTGAGTAAGCTGGGATTACAGGCACGCACCACCACACCTGGCTAATTTTTTGTATTTTTAGTAGAGATGGGGTTTCACCCTGTTGGCTAGGCTGGTCTTGAACTCCTGACCTCAGGCGATCTGCCCGCCTCAACCTTCCAAAGTGCTGGGATTACAGGTGTGAGCCACGGATGCCTGGTCTTACAATCATATATATTCCTTTGAAAGTAAAACAAATGAGAAATATTGAGCCTTGGTTGGGAGGGAGTTGGAATTGTCAGGAGGGGTTAGTCATTTTCATTCGCAAAGATAACTGTTCCACTTCTAGCAGCTGGGAAGCTAAAGAATAATTTTAAAATTGAGACAAAAATAGCTATTGCAGGCATAGAAGTAGGTACCAGTAGATGATGAATTTGCCTTCTCAGTACTGATGTTGCTCTGTTGAGAACGATAATTCCATGTCTTTAGACATCAGTGCTTTTTATCCAAGAATACCTCTCTAAAGCACTCCAGTGCTCACATGTCTGCTCCTACTCACTGCACTGAACTTAGAGGGTCCACGTGTCCAAAGGGCAGGGCACCGAGGGCAGCCTCTTGTCAAGAGAAGTGGAAATTGAGGCCCTCAGTCCTTCAGCCCGTGGAGCTGAAATTCTGCCAACAACAGATTCTTCCCTCGTCCAGCCTATCAGACACCCAGATTACAGCCTCAGGGGGGCCCCTGAGCAGAGGATCTGCTAAGCTGTGCCTGGACTCCTCATTCATAAACACTGTGTGATAAGAAATGTGTGTTGTTTTGAGCCGCCAAGTTTGTTGTAGTTTTTATGCAGCAATAGATAACTATCACAGTTGTGAAATCACCACTTTTCACAATGAGTAAGAGCCAAAGCAGGTGCCAATCACTAAAATTTCCTTGTCAAGGAGGGCACTGTAATGTTATTCCACTGGGGAAGAGAACTTGGAGCAGACTTCCTGAGTTTTAAGGAATCACAGGAAACAAAATCACCTCCACTACAAGCTGGGACCTGCAGCGTGTGTGTATGTGAGCGATGGAAGCGGGACCTGCAGGGTGTGTGTGTGTGAGCGATGGAAGCTGGGGTTTACAGGGTTGTGTGTATGTGAGAGATGTGAGCTGGGACCTGCAGGGTGCATGTGTGTGAGAGATGTGAGCTGGGACCTGCAGGGTGCGTGTGTGTGAGCGATGTGAGCTGGGGTCTGCAGCGTGTGTGTATGTGAGCTATGGAAGCTGGGGTCTGCAGGGTGTGTGTATATGAACAATAGAAGCTGGGGTCTGCAGCGTGTGTGTATGTGAGTGATGGAAGTGCCATCCTGATGTGTGTTTTTGCTCCAGAATAGCTTCAGATCTGGGGTGTAGTCATTCTTGAAAAAATTTTCGAAATAGATAGCAGTGATGGCTGTACAACATTGTAAATGTCGTTAATGCCACTGAATTGTAACTCGAAATACTTATAATGGCAAATGTTACGTTACATATATTTATTAAGAAAAGATAAATACAAAACAGTGTAGCGTCATATTCTCAACAGTGCACAGCACATTCTCCAACCTCTAAAGGGAAACTTGCGTGGAAAGCCTGTGTTCTTTCAAATCCTGGCAGTGGAAGAGTAAATTGGTAAACACCTGCCAGTTGGGCAAAAAACAAAAAGCCCAGGTGTTGCCTTAGGTTTTTATTTTTCCCTCCAGGTAGGAAAAGAAGGGGCCCAAGCATTCCCAAAGGTGAATTTCAGGTGGACCTAAAATGCTAAAAGTTTGTGCTGTTCTCTTCTACAAAAAGTTAAATTAGGTACTAGGGCTGGGGCAAAGCATTAGATAAACTGGAAAAAAGAAAAACTTCTAAAAACAAGAAAAAAAAAGAAGAAGAAAGAAAAGAAAAACCCATTTCAGATGCGAGAGCCTCCCATCCCCCATTCCATGTTAACTCTCAAATGCTAATTGCACTGTTGGAGGTTTGCGTAAACTTGCAATGGAATGGAAAATTTTAAAAACTTGAAATGAAAGGGAGTTTTTAAAAGCTGGCTTTGTGTCTTATGGCTACTGCATCTAGATAGATGATAAGAAACATATTCTATGCTTGTAATTTCATAAACATTGGAGGAATCATCCTGATCAGGAAAGCTGCCAAAAGCAAACAAAACCCAGGATGGTATACAACTGCCTTGCTTGCTGCTGCTGGTGAGGGAATTGAAATGCAAGTTTTTGAGTATTAAAAGGAAAATAATTTCTATAACTGACAATTTTTAGTATGATTTTCACCTATGGGAGCCTCTGATAAAAGGGAGACAATATGAAAAGACAGGCACTCTCTAATACACTTTTAGAATTTTAAATATTAGTTTTTAGTTCCTAATGAGCTCTTGTAAGATCAGATGCCTGCGCCTTAGAGGCTGATAATTTTCTGGCCTCTGAGCATATTTTTGAGTGGGTCCATTTGGACTCAGCAAATAACAAGCCAAACAGGGCTTAGGAAAGCCTTGCCCGTCACTGGGACCAGCAACACTGCTTTCCCACTCTTCAGGGCTTTGGCTTTGCTACAGCGGAACAAAAGCTGTTGGCTTTTTGTGGGGAATCCTAACTCACAGATCCTAATTGCCTGGACCTGACTCTGAGATGAAACCTTATACTATCTGCTGCTGGCTGTTTCAGCCTCAGCACAAACCGTGCTGAACGAAAAACTCTGTAAGCACAATAAACAGAACTCAGACTCTGGTATCATTGCAGATTAGGACATGCCTGCATGGGATCCCAAACTATGAAAACTTCATGGATGCTGGCTAGACTGTGTGCATCACACACAAATGCCCACAAGAAAGGGCTTGTTCTCTTATGGGACCATCTGCAATCACACTTCTGATCAGCCTCATATGTCTGACCCAAAAACTAGTTTCATTCCTAAACTTGTGATTTCTGCCCCAAACAAGTTTGGGGTGGACACATCACAGGGACTCTGAACTCCCTGCCCACTCCTGGCAGATTGGACTCTTGACCCCCTTTGGGGGTCTTGCTGCTGTCTGTTGATTATTTTATTTGGCTTTCTGGATTACTTGCAGCTTGCAACAACAGCCTTCCTTATGTTTCTCCTGGTGTACGCACTTCAGTAAAGCAAGCTGATCTGTTTAAACCCATGTTGAATTTTTTTTTTTTTTTTGAGATGGGGTCTGGCTCTGTTGCCCAGGCTGGAGTGCAGTGGCGCCATCTCTGCTCACTGCAAACTCCGCCTCCTGGGTTCACGCCATTCTCCTGCCTCAGCCTCCCAAGTAGCTGGTACTACATGTAGGTGCCCGCCACCACACCCGGCTAATTTTTTGTATTTTTAGTAGAGAGAGGGTTTCACCATGTTAGCCAGAATGGTCTAGATCTTGTGACCTCGTGATCCGCCTCGGCCTCCCAAAGTGCTGAGATTACAGGTGTGAGCCACCACACCCGGCCTTGAATTTTTTTTTAAATTCAAGATTTTGTCCTAATTTCTGAACATGGCGTGTCTTTTAAATTGCATAATAATGTTTTCCTGTGACAATGTTTTTATTCCTCTTCCAGACAATCCTTCCTGACGACATGTCTGAATGAAAGTAAGGTATGATTTCAAAAATGTAAAGTTATGATTGCTGAAAAGGACACACTGATTTTGCAATAATGAGAGAAAAAACAAAATCCTAGTATCTGGAAGGTCCAGGAAGGGGGAAGGCATTCGTGATCTCTGTTGTTCAAGGCCGTTCCTGAAAGCTGTCTCCTCCTGTGGAAGAAACCCCCCCTGTGCTGCCTTTCCTAGCTGCGGAGAATGTTTTGAATTCAGACTGACGGCCGAGGCAAGATCACGGGGCAGGGCAGACTATTGTCAAAGAAAACCAGTGTCAGACAGAAGTTAAAGCAGCAAAGGCAACTTTTATTCAGAAGCTATCTCAGTAGGGGAAAAGAGACATCAGTACAGAACTGGGCTCTATTCCAAATAGAACAAGTACAAGTAGGAATTTATGGCCAAGGGACAGGGGTCACTGGACACAAAATTACTAAGAGGAAGCATCAGGGATAAGGGGGGTTCTGGTTAAACTAACTTAATAGATTCTCTCTCTCATTTTGGCTGGAGCAAAACTTTACTGTTCAGGGGCTCTGCTGGGCCACGTGTCCTCAGGATACCAGGCTGCTCTGCCCTCCTCTAAGGCATTCAATAATATTAGCGATTAAATAGCAAAGCTCATCCCCCAACTGTAATGTACAATAGAGGTCCCATTGTGACATTCCTGAGGAGTCTGGTCCCATGAGGTCAGGAACGCAAGAGGCAGAGAGGGCCCCCTGATGCAGAGGGGGTTAAGGCCACAAACGAAAAGGAGAAGGGATAGGGTTTGGGGGCAGCTGGGCTGGTCCAGGAACCTGGCTGGAGGCATGCAAGCTCCCTTCCCCTTCCCCCCGCACCCTCCAACTCTGTGTGTCTGGAGGAACCGGGGGGAGACCCTAAGCATGGGGATGCCTGAGGGTTTGCAGTCTGGCTGTGTGTCCATCCTACCCAGTGCTCAGGTCCTCCAGTGTTCTGGACCAGTCAGGGGGCTCCCAGGTGCATCTAGTAGCCCCTCCCATGCCAGGGCAGGGCTTTCCTTCATCGGAGGAGGAGCTGGGAAGGGCTTGACAGCGGGCCGGGCAGCCCGTTGGTCTTAAGGCCAGAGTCCCCAGGTTGGCCACGTTTGCCACATAAGAGAATAAGGGATGAAAAGGAGGAACTGGAGGATCTGTAGGCCGAGTCAGGAGCTAGAGGGTCTGGGGCTGGAGCCCGGTTAGGGGCTGGTCCAGTGGGGGTCCCGCCAGCAACAGCCTTATGGGTCCCGGCATTGGCCAGAAACTCCTTGTCCAGGCGTCAGAGCAGCTGCTCTGGTGTGTG
Source organism: Homo sapiens (assembly GCF_000001405.40). Classification (NCBI taxonomy): domain Eukaryota; kingdom Metazoa; phylum Chordata; class Mammalia; order Primates; family Hominidae; genus Homo; species Homo sapiens. The sequence continues at coordinate 38,487,369 of NC_000009.12, forward strand.
CGGAAGACGCTGGCGCGTGTGGTGCTAAACTCTAAACTGGGGTTGGACTGGGAAAGCCAGGGTGCTTCAGGGCGGTGGGCATGGAGAGCCCAGGGGTGCTCCTGCCCGAGCCCCGCTGCCCCTGCCCTGTGGCTCCCACGAGTGCTGCCCATCTCCATCCTTGAGCCCAGTCTGCTCCTGCGCCCACCGGGCAGGGCTGAGGGCCGCAGCTGGGCTCCCCTCTCTCCTGGAGCTCCCCGGGGCCGACTCGGATCCAGCCCGTCCCGGGACTGGCTGCGCGGGGCAGGGGGCCGTCTCGGAGAGGCCAGGTGGTGGTGGTCAGCCCCCGTCTGGGTCTCTTCCTCCCGGCCTAGTGCCTCATCCTCGCTGCGGGCACCAAGGGGGCGGCTCTGGGCTGAGAAAGCTGAGGAGTCACTGTCCTCAGAGTAGGAGCGGGGATGCGGCGGGCAGCTGATCCCAGGGCCTGGGAGCCTCGGCCCCTGCTTTATGCTTTGTAAGCGAATAGGGGTCACCTAGGGTCCGGAGCGCCGGCGCTCTCTCGCGGGGACCAGGCTACCAGGGCAGGGGCTAGGGGTGGGCGACACCCTCTGCGGGGACAGGGTGCGGACCCTCGACGGGGGCGGGCGGTGGGTGGTGGAGGAGCGGCGGCGCGGGTCCTGACTGTCCAGGTAGCGCTCCAGCGGGTCGCCACACCCAGGCGCGCCGTCAGGCGGCTCCCGGGCACCCTCACAGAGATCAACAGGCCGGAGTCTCCCACGCGGAACTTCCCCTCCGAGGCCTTTATCTTGGGGAGCTGACCGGGTGCAGAGGCCCAGTGTCTCCCTCGCCAGCTCGCGGAGCATTTCGGGCTCGCCCAGATCAGTGCGCCACTGGCCGATGAAGGTGGCCGCACTGTCGCGGGCCACGAAGAAGCGCAGCGCCAGCCACCCTGTGGGCCTGGAAGGTCACACTTCGGGATATGCAGACAGCCTCATGGGTTCCCATAGACGGGCCAGCCGAGCCACTGTGGGCGGGGGTACAAACCAGGATCGCTGTGAGGATCCGGCAGGCGCTCAGAGCAGACTAAGCCGCAGAGCACTGCACCGGCCTGTCACTCAGGCCGAATGGCTGGTTTACCTGCTGGCTCTGAGAAACCTCAGTGCCTCAGTTTCCTCATCTGAGAAATGGGTACAGTAAATTACCTGCTTGGTAGGATTCAATGGGATAATTTTTAATAAGCAACTTAGCGTCTGTAAATACTGGCTACGCAGCCTTTTTTTTTTTTTTTGGAGAGGGGATTAGGGGCTGGCTGAGGCCTCCCTCACAGGCAGAGAGGTGCCCACTGTGAAGGGCTGGGACCTGGAGAGATGAAGACAACGACTGGGACCCCCAGTGGATAGGAAGGGAACCCAGGTCCCGACCTCAGGGTGGGAGACCTCCATGGTTCAGGGCTGTGCCCAGCCCACCTCCTGCGGGAAGGTACCGGTTTTTCCCTTGATCCCCCTTCCCTAAGGGCAGTGCCATCAAAAAACGACATAGCAGCAGTAATGGTATCAGTAACAGCAATGAAGTGGTTAGGGCTGAGTGCGTGGTGATATTATCTCCATTTTACAGGTGTGGAAACTGAGGTGCGGAAAGGGTAAGAGCTCGCTGGAGGTCTCAGAGCTGTGGGTGGAGCCAGGGCGTCCAGGCTGCGCCGCGCGGCCTATCTCGGCGATCCAGCAGCCAAGCCGCGAAAGCCAGACCCCCCTCAGCAAGCAGCGCCCCAGAACCGCAGGCCGTCGTTTGTGGGGCCAGAACTGATGGCCCAGGCCCAGAGGGGGTGCAGGGCCGCTCAAGGTCACACAGCCCCAGGGAACAGAGGCTGCTAACGCTGCTGTCTGGCTCTGGGCAGGGAGTGCTGGGGGTTTCCCCACTCTCCTGGTTCATCCACCGGCCCCGGGGAGCATGGCCCCTGCAGGGGCAGGAGCCAGGCCCAGCCCGCAGCAGGGAGGCGCCTGCAAGCCACAGCTGGATCTGTCGGGCCGCTGCGGCCTCCTAACGGCGGGCCGGGATGATAACGATATTGAGGGTAGGGGCTGAGGAATTTGATTAGATATCAAGGGTGATCAGAGACCTTGGTAGTGGTGGGAATTTTGCCTATTTTGACTCAACAGAGTCTTGAATAAGCAGGCCAAGGTCAGAGCCCCAGGTTGGTACCTTAAGGGCTTAGAGAGGCCTGACTAGCGTGAGCTTAACACCCTTGCAGGCTTGACATCAGGGAGTCCTGTCATCAGGGCTGACTCCATACTGAACTGCTGGGGAACTCTGAGGCCCACAAAGGAACTGTGAGAAACACTTTCTTCACCAGCAGCTGTGCTCTTAACAGTATACAACACATTATACAAGGCCTCCAACGGGCCACTGTAACTCCAAACTCTGGTTAGTGAAATTGTGTCATTTAGATAAAACGAACAAGAAGAGGGCCATCATGTTTAAACATGTAACCAGCTGGAGTCCCTGGACAGGGGGGACTTTCAATTTGCTTGGAAGCAGAGGCTCCCATTCTCACCTTGTCAGAACTTAAAACAAAGCGAGAGCAAGCAAAAAGATGGAGAGCCCTACCAAGAAACTCAAACAAAGGCAAATACCTCCACCAAGACAGGAGTTCTTTAGCATGAATGAAGACTTGTGGCTCCAGGTTCCAGCAGGTGCCCAGATCTCAAAGTGCAACCAGCTTTTAGTGAGTATCTCACAGATGTGGAAGAGACCACCAGAGCCACGGAGGATGAAGTCACATGGCTTCCCCACTAACAAAAAGGAGGAATTAGCCGGTCAGGCCAATAAGTGTTTACTCAGGAATGTGGGCTGCAACCTGGGTACCAATCAGAAACTGTACCACCCAAGAGAGCAAGGGCTCACACTGATAGAAACTTATTTAGATTACATAAATTGTTTGCCAGATTATTTCATAAACAAAGAATTCTTTAATTGTTAGTAGAAGAGTCCTTTTGCATCAGTGGGTCAGGAAAAACCTATTCACAGTTTGTAAAGACAAGGACCAGAGTTTGGAGTTACAGTGGCCCCTTGGAGGCTCATTTGACCTTTCCAAACATATATATATATATATATTTTTTTTTTTATTTTTTTTTTTAAGATACCATCTTGGAAATAAAAAGGTTTGCACTTCTCAGAATGCATGGGAAGCATACTTTAATTAGCATTCAGAAGGGATACACATAAAAAAGACCATGAAATCTAAAAGAGTTTTCCCAAGACACTGTTTCTAAATTAGTAAAAGGAAACGAGCATTTAAATAAAAATCTTCAGGAGGCTGGGCACGCATGTTCCTGCAATTCCAGCAACTCAGGAGACTGAGGCGGGGGGATCACTGAGCCTAGGAGTTCAAGTCTAGCCTGGGCTAAATATAGTAAGACACTGTCACAAAAAATAATAACCAAATCAAATCAAATCTTCAGGAGAACATTCACGCTCAACCTCATCATATGCCCCGCCGGCAGAACTCCGACATTCCTATTCCCTCCCCTTTACAGCCACCTAAAACAGCTGAACCAAAACTGACTAGCAACCCCTACGATGGCCTTCCCTACCCCTGTCCCAATTCCTACATACCCCTTCCAATACTCCCCAAATAAAAAAGAGAATTTACTGATGGTGTCTTACACTCTGGTCCAGTTCTGAGTTGCCTGTGATGCAACAGCCAAATGATTTGCCAAGGTGACTGAGGACCTCTCAGATTTGCCGAGGAATTCTCGACGGTCTGTACAAGTTATGTCCTAGAGTTTTCAATTTCTATCAGCTGATACATTTACTGGTGGGACCAGGAGGAGAGAGACATTGGGTAAAAATTGTCAGGATGGGAAAATCCTTCTGATGATTTATTTATTTATTTATTTAGATATGGTGACTCACTATGTTGCTCAGGCTGGTTTTGAACTCCTGAGTTCAATGATCCTCCCACCTCAGTCCCCTGCGTAGCTGGGACTATAGGCACACACCACTCACATTTGGCCTCTTCTGATGATTTAAATCAAAATTTGCTCCAAGATATAGAAAAAGCCAAATAATTGGTTGACACATTAATTAAAGTTACTCTCATGGCTTTTCCAAAGCCAGTAGATTGGAATAAAATTTTGGCTTGTGCTCAGAGAGAAGGCAGACTAGTTCATGGTTATTCCAATAAACTAGAAAGTAATATTTAAGTAAAATTCTGGTTTCTCAAAAGAACAGACTGATGCCACTTAAGTAGCACTTAACTCCATGTTTGTTAATGGTCTCAATGAAGATTTAACCATATTAGTTAAGAGAGCACAGAAAATTAACAAAGATATTCAGGACCTGAACTCAGCTTTGGATCAAGTGGACCTGACAGATATTTACAGAACTCTTCACCCAGAAACAACAGAATATACATTATTCTCATTACCACATGGCATTTACTCTAAAATTGACCACATAATCAGGAGTAAAACACTCCTCAGCAAATGTGAAAGAAATGAAATCATAACAAACATTCTCTCAGACCACAGTGCAATCAAATTAGAATTCAAGATTAAGAAATTTACTCAAAATCACACAACTACCTGGAAATCAAACAACCCGCTCCTAAATGACTCTTGTTGATTAATGAAATTAAGGCAGAAATCAAGAAGTTCTTTGAAACTATTGAGAACTAAGATACAATGTACCAGAATCTCTGGGATGCAGCTAAAGCAGTGTCAAGGGGAAATTTATAGCACTAAATGCCCACATCAAAAAGCTAGAAGGATATCAAGCTAACAACCTAACATCACAACAAAAAGAACTAGAGAACCAAGTGCAAACAAACCCCAAAGCTAGCAAAAGACAAGAAATAACCAAGATCCAAGCTGAACTGAAGGAGATAGAAACACACAAAAAAATCCTTCAAAAAAATCAATGAATCCAGGAGCTGTTTTTTTTTAAATTAATAAAATAGACCACTAGCTAGACTAATGAAGAAATGAGAGAAGATTCAAATAAATATAATCAGAAATGATAAGAAAGATATCATCACTGACCCCACGGAAATACAACCATCAGAGAATCCTATAAACACCTCTATGTGCATAAACTAGAAAATCTAGAAGAAATGGATAAATTCCTGGACCCATACAGCCTCCCAAGACTGAACTAGGAAGAAATTGAATCCCTGAATAAACCAATAATGAGTTCTAAAATTGAGGCAGTAATAAATAGCCTACCAATCAAAAAAAGCCCAGGACCGGATGGAGTCACAGTTGAATTCTAGCAGAGGTACAAAAAAAGCTGGTATCATTTCTCCTGAAACTGTTCCAAATAGTTGAAAAGGAGGGACTCCTCCCTAATGCATTCTATGAGGCCAGCATCATCCTGATACCAAAACTTAGCAGAGATACAACAGAAAAAGAAAACTTCAGGTCAGTATCTTCAATGAACATTGGTGCAATAATCCTCAATAAAATATTGGCAAACCAAATCCAGAAGCACATCAAAAACCTTATCCACCACAATCAAGTTGGCCTCATCCCCAGAATGCAAGATTGGTTCAACATACACAAATCCATAAATGTGATTCATCACGTAAACAGAACTAAAGACAAAAACCATATGATTATCTCAATAGATGCAGAAAAGGCCTTTGATAAAATTCAACATCCCTTCATGTTAAAAACTTTCAATGAACTAGGTATTGAAAGAACATACTTCAAAATAATAAGAGCCATATATGACAGACCCACAGCCAATATCATACTGAATGGGCAAAAGCTGGAAGCATTCCCCTTGAAAACTGGCACAAAACAAGGATACTCTCTTTCACCACTCCTATTCAACGTAGTATTGGAAGTTCTGGCCAGGGCAGTCAGGCAAGAGAAAGAAATAAAGGGTATTCAAATAGGAAGAGAGGAAGTAAAACTATCTTTGCTTGCAGATGATATGGTCCTATATCTAGAAAACCCCAATTGTCTCAGCCCAAAAGCTTCTTAAGCTGATAAGCCACTTCAGCAAAGTCTCAGGATACAAAATCAATGTGCAAAAGTCACAATTATTCCTGTACACCGAAAACAGGCAAGCAGAGAGCCAAATCATGAATAAACTCCCATTCACAATTGCCACAAAAAGAATAAAATACCTAGGAAGACAGCTAACAAGGGAAGAGAAGGACCTCTTCAAGGAGAAGTACAAACCACTGCTCCAGGAAACCAGAAATGACAAAAAGAAATGGAAAAAAATCCATGCTCCTGGATAGGAAGAATCAGTATCTTGAAAATGGTCATACTGCCCAAAGCAATGTATAGATTCTATACTATTCCCATTAAACTACCATTAAAATTCTTCATAGGATTATAAAAAAACTATTTTAAAATTCATATGGAACCAAAAAAGGGCCCCAATAGCCAAGACAATCCTAAGCAAAAGAACAAAGCTGAAGGCATCATGCTATCTGACTTCAAACTATACTACAAGGCTACAGTAACCAAAACAGCATCATACTGGTGCAAGAATAGACACATAGACCAATGCAATAGAATAAGACCAATGCAATAGAATAGAGAGCACAGAAAGAAGACTGCACACCTACAACCATCTGATCTTTGACAAACCTGACCAAAATAAGCAATGGGAAAAGGATTCCTTATTTAATAAATAGTGCTAGGAGAACTGGCTAGTCATATGCAGGAAATTGAAACTGGACCCTTCCTTACAAAATCAACTCAAGATGGATTAAAGACTTAAATGTAAAACTCGAAACTATAAAACACGGGAAGAAAAATCTAGGCAATACCATTCAGGACATTTTGTGACGAAGATGCAAAAAGCAATTGCAACAAAACCAAAAATTGACAAATAGGATCTAATTAAACTAAAGAGCCTCTGCACAGCAAAAGAAACTATCATCAGAGTGAACAGACAACCTACAGAATGGGAGAAATTTTTTGCAATCTATCCATCTGTAGTGAACCTCCTCATGGGTCACACTTTGTACTGAATCCCTGAGCTCATCCTTTTCTTTCCCCAATGCAATTAGAAGCAAGTAGCAAATTTTATTCTATTCATTAGTTTGACAAAAATATTATAACATATTAAATATATGGTCACCCAGTAGCTTGCCTTTTATGAGCTTTTGATTAAGAGTATCTAATGGTGACATTGTGTGTGTCTCTATTGCCAGATCATGCCAGTGCTGTCTTCACCAATGGAAATAGAGTAATTGATGTCTTTAAATCTAATCAGATTAGAGAACCAATTCCAGAAACCTCAGAGCCAATCCAGAAAATTTATTCTTAAGATTTTGTTCCTGTAGAGCTATTCTTGGTAGCAAACTTTGGATTAGCATTGTTGAGTGAAATAGAACCATCATGATGTGTGTGTGTATGTTGCAGTCTTGAATCTGAAGGTAGTCTGGAGGCAGAACTCCTTTCTCCTCGAGGGGACCTCAATCTTTTCTCTTTAGGCTTCCCACTGATTGGATGAGGCCTGCCCATACTATGGAGGGTGGAAT